>NC_000017.11:5642626-5794141 GCF_000001405.40 Homo sapiens
CCCAGCTCATTTGCACAGAGCATTAAGTTTCTCACGTCGGCTCCTAGCCTCCTAACTACTCACAGGTGTCCCTCCACCTGTCCTGTGCTCCCCTGTTTTGCTCTGTCCTCTAAGGCCTGACATGCTGATGTGTCCCCGCAGCCTAGCACGTCACCTCAGCTCTTCTCCCTACTGAAGTCCTCTCATTCTTCCAGTGTGGCCTCTGGCATGAGACCCCCAAGTTCATGGCAAAGCACTCACCCTCTTCATGGTTCACTCCCACATCCTATGGCTTATAGTTTTCTTTTCTTTTCTTTTCTTTTCTTTTCTTTTCTTTTCTTTTCTTTTCTTTTTTCTTTCCCTTTCCCTTTCCTTTTTCCCTTCCCTTCCCCTCTTCTCTTCTCTTTTTTTCTTTTCTTTTCTTTTCTTATCTTTTCTGAGATGGAGTCTTGCTCTGTCGCCCAGGCTGGAGTGCAATGGCATGATCTTGGCTCACTACAACCTCCGCCTCCTGGGTTCAAGTTATTCTCCCACTTCAGCCTCCTGAGTAGCTGGGATTACAGTCGGGCGCCACCAAGACCGGCTAATTTTTGTATTTTTGTAGAGATGGGGTATCTCCATGTTGGCCAGGCTGGTCTTGAACTCCTGACCTCAGGTGATCTACCCATCTCGGCCTCCCAAAGTGCTGGGATTACAGGCATGAGCCACCGCGCCCAGCCTGTTAAAGCTTTCTTTAATACTGTCAATGACATGTCTGTTGATGGATGTGTGCAGAGGACAAAGCAGGTGTCAGGCACTGTGCCAAGCACTTTATGGCATCACCTCCATTCCATCCTTTCACAAGCCCTGGGAGCAGGTGTTTCCATGACCTTTTTATAGATGGGAAATGGAAGCTTGGAAAGGTTCACCATAATGTTACCAGTGGCACACAGGTAGTAAGTGGCAGAGCTGGAATTAAAAAAAATTTTAATGGGTACATAATAATTGTACATATTTATGGAGTACATGTGATATTTTGATTCATGCATACCATTTGTAACGATCAAATCAGGGTATTTGGGCTCTGCATCACCTTAAACATTTATTATTTCTTTGTGTTGGGAACATTCCAAATCCACTCCTCTAGCTGTTTTGAAATATACAGTAAGTTATTGTTAACTATAGTGACGCTGCTGTAGTGTTGAACACTAGATATTGTCCTTCTATCCAGCAGTGTTTTCCCATTACAAACCCCTCTTTATCCACCATCCCCACTCCTTTTCCGAGCTTCTGGTAACTATTATTCTACTCTCTACCTCCAGGGGATCAATTTTTTTTTTAATCTCTCACATATGAGTAAGATTTGAATTTCAGCGAGGGCTGCTCTTAACCTCTAAGATCTATGGCCTGCCTATTTGGCATAAGGCGGGGAGCATAAATGCAGGTTCCCTGGACTAAGACCTGAGAGTGGGTGAGTTGGGGATCCTGTGGGGCTGTGTGCAGGTGGCTGTTTTTCAAGGGGTGGTAGGATGGTAGCTCTCTGGACTGCAGGGTCCTCAGAGAGGGCTGGGTCCTGCTGGGGCACAATAAACCAGAAGGCTGCTCAGCTGAACAGTAAACAGGGCCTTCCCCAGCTATGGAAAGAAACCAGGCCTGGCATTGGCAGTGAAAATGGCTCCTGGGCACAACTCCCACCTCCTCAGCCTCAGACTGGAAGGCTGTCAGCTTTGCTTGTCTCATCTGACTGAATGACAGCAATGTGTAGGAGTCGGGAAAGCAGGGGATCCCTTAATAGATCGGACGCCTCTCAGCCCTGAGGCTCCAGCTCCACTTTTTGGGCAGACAGCATCAGTGCATAAAACTTCATCAGCCTCTGCAGGGCCGGGACTGGGGCGAGGCAAGTGCAAGTGAGGCACCCACAAAATTTAAGGGGGCACCAAACAACTCGGTAATGAAGATAAGCAGTATTTTAATGATATCTGAAAACCCCAATTAATACAAAATACTCATGATGAAATAATAGCAACATTTTAAATCAAGGCAGGATCAATAGGACAGAAGGCTTTTATGAATTCTGAGGCACAGCTATGTGGTCTAATGAACAGGTGAGCTGGCCTCCCAAAGCTCTGAGCCTCCAGGGAACTATGACATTCTGCTGTGTTTGTCCTTGACCCCATGGAACCAAACTGCATTTCATTTATTTATTTATTTATTTAGTCAGTCACTCACTCAGTCCCTGAGTGCCTATTAAGTTTTATTATTATTATTTTTTTGAAACGGAGCCTCGCACTGTCGCCCAGGCTTGAGTGCAGTGGCGTGATCTCAGCTCACTACAACCTCCACCTCCTGGGTTCAAGTGATTCTCCTGCCTCAGCCTCCCGAGTAGCTGGGATTACAGGAGCTGGCCATTGTGCCTGGCTAATTTTTATATTTTTAGTAGAGATGGGGGTTTCACCATCTTGGCCAGGCTGGTCTCGAACTCCTGACCTTGTGATCCGCCTGCCTCAGCTTCCCAAAGTGCTGGGATTACAGGTGTGAGCCACCGTGCCCGGCCCTACTAAGCATTTTTAGTGCAGATAAGCCTATCATTTGAAAAGAATGACAAATTTGTATTTAATAGCTTTCTTTCCAGTTCTTTTTACAGTTTAAATTTTAATTAATTGATTAATTTTTATAAAATCCAGATCCTGTGCAATCTTTCCAGTCCTTACTCTCTAGCACACTAGCTAGACTTCCAGTACAATTTTTAATAGTGCTGTCAATAGCAGACATCCTTGTCTTTTTCCTGATTTAATTGGGAAGCAGCCTAAATTTTTATTATTAACTATAATGTTTACTGGACATTTTTGATACCTATGCTTTATTTGGTGTGGAAATGACATTCTATTTGTATTTTGCTAAGAGTTTCCTTCCCTCTTTTTTTTTTTTTGAGACGGAGTCTCGCTCTGTCGCCCAGGCTGGAGTGCAGTGGCGCGATCTTGGCTCACTGCAAGCTCCGCCCCCGGGTTCACGCCATTCTCCTGCCTCAGCCTTCTGAGTAGCTGGGACTACAGGCGCCCGCCACCACGCCCGGCTAATATTTTTGTATTTTTAGTAGAGACGGTGTTTCACTGTGTTAGCCAGGATGGTCTCGATCTCCTGACCTTGTGATCCGCCCGCCTCGGCCTCCCAAAGTGCTGGGATTACAGGCGTGAGCCACTGCGCCCGGCCGAGTTTTCTTCCCTCTTTTAAAAAATCATGAATGTGGTAAATGTTATTGAGTGGTTTTGGTGTATCTTTTGAAATGATCATATAATTTTTCTCCATAATCTGTTAATATGTTGAATTAGGTCAAAATATTTCCTAATTTTGAGCTACCTTCGCATTTCTGGAAGGTATTTGGACATAATTATATTTTTTGGACATAATTATATTTTGCATACTGCTGGAGAGGATTTGCCACTATTTTCTTTAAGATTTTTGTATCTCTGTTAATAAACTTAAAAGTCTGATTTTACTGTTTTATACTGTCCTTGTCCAGTTTGGTAGCAAGAACATACTAGCCTTATAAAATGAGAAGCGTTATCCACCCTACACCCCCCAATTCTCTGAATAAGCTTTTGTAAAATAAGAATTACTTGTTTTTGAGGGTTTGGTAAAACTTGCTTCTGTAACTGTCTGGGCTTGGTGTCTTTGGAAAGGGAGATATTTTCTTTCTTCTTTTTCTTTCTTTCTTTCTTTTTTTTTTTTTTTTGAGACAGAGTCTCACTCTGTTGCCAAGGCTGGAGTGCAGTGGTGCAATCTTGGCTCACTGCAACCTCCGCTTCCTGGGTTCAAGCGATTCTCCTGCCTCAGCCTCCTGAGTAGCTAGAATTACAGGCACGCGCCACCATGCCTGGCTAATTTTTGTATTTTTAGTAGAGATGGGGTTTCATCATGTTTGCCAGACTGGTCTCAAACTCCCAATCTCAAGTGATCTGCCCGCCTCAGCCTCCCCAAACTGCTGGGATTACAGGCGTGAGCCGCTGTGCCTGGCCCCATTATATTTTCTTGACGTTATTGGTTTATTTAAGTTTTTTATGTATCTTCCAGTTAGTTTTTAGGATTTATGTTGTTACAGAAAATTGTTCATGTCTCATTGACTTGAAGTTCATATTTTTCTTGTGTGGTTTCAAGTATTTATTGTATCCTTTTTCCTTGTTTGAGGTTTGTCTATATTGTTGATCTTTTAAAGAGTCTGTTTTTGGTCAATCCTCTCTAAGACTTTCTCCCTTTCATTAATTTCTGCTCCCATTTTTATTATTTCTTTTATTCTACCCTGATTTTCTTTTCCTAGCTTCTTCAGTTGAACAAGGAACTCATTTATTTTTAATCTTTCTTCATTTTTAATAAATACATTGAAGGCTAAATTTTTCCTCTAGGCAGAGCTTTAATCATGTCCTGCAGATTTTGCATCAAGCATAGTGATTGTCATTTAGCGCTAAATATTTCATAAGTTTTCATTGTGAATTTCTTTTTTAACCCATGTTATTTGGGAGCATATTTTTTCTTCTCCAAATGCATCTTAAACTACTTTCATTGTTGAATTGTAATACAAATGAATTGGTTGGAGAACATAGTCTGTGTGACACGGATTCTTTCAAATTTGTTGGTACTGTCTTCGTGACCCAGTGCATTGTCGATGTTTATAACATGCTTTGCGTGTCTGAAACGAATTAATATTCCATGCTTATTGGGAGGAAGATTCCAGATTTATCTATTACATCAAGACTTTTAATTATGTGGTTCGAATAATCAATATCCTTACTGCTTGATTTATTTGTCTCTGGGGAGGTACACTAAACTCTTCCTCTGTGATTGGGTATTTGTCAATATTTCCTTGGAACTCTACCAGTTTTTGCTTTATATATTTAAGACAGGATATTTAGACTCACAGGAGTTTATGATTGTTCTGTCTCTTTGGTGGACTGTGTTCCTTTTTATCATTATGTTTAATAATAATGCCTCATTATTTCTCTTATAGCTTTTTGCCTCCAATTCTGGCTACATTAGCATTGCTTAAATATTCGCTAAGGATGGGTTCTTTTTTGTCCCTTTATTTCAAAGTTTCTCTGTCACATGTAAGTAACATATAGTTTTTTAAAAAATTCAATCGGATCATCTATTCTTTACCAGATTATTTTGGTCTATTTACATTTTTTGGTTCTTATTAGTGTATTAGGCCTACCATTTTCTTTTTCTTTTTTTTTTTTTGAGATGGAATCTCACTCTGTCGCCCAGGCTGGAGTGCAGTGGCGTGATCTCGGCTCAATGCAACCTCCGCCTCCCAGGTTCAAGCAATTCTCCTGCCTCAGCCTCCTGAGTAGTTGGGATTACAGGCACCCGCCACCACGCCCAGCTAATTTTTGTATTTTTAGTAGAGACGGGGTTTCCCCATGTTGGTCAGGCTGGTCTCGAACCCCTGACCTCATGATCCACCCATCTCAGCCTCCCAAAGTGCTGGGATTACAGGCGTGAGCCACCGCGCCCAGCCCATTTTGTGTTTTTCTTTATTTTTTCTGCTTCATTTTTTAGCTGCTGTTAGATTGATAAAGTTTTATTTTTTCCATTTCTCCTGCTGACTCAGAGACTATACATTATATTAGTCTTCTTTTAGCAATGAGATGTGTATTTTTAGCATTTCTATTTTTAAGAAATTCTATTTTTATTTCTATTTATAAGAAAACTATTAAGTTTTTTAAATAAAGTCAAAGGTTATTCATTATTTATATTCTCCTTCAGGTAAGACTTTAGCATACTTTACCCATAGAACCTTTGAATCTTTCATGTACAATAAAACCTTGAATCTTTCTCATTATTGCTGTCCAGACTTTTGTTCTAGACATTATTATTGTTTGGTAATTATATAGTAATAAAAGAGCACTACTTAGTAATTTATTAAATTTATTAACATTTTACCAGTTTCTGAGTTTACCTTTGTTTCTTGCATGACACTTTTCCTCTGGATTCACTTTTCTTTTTGCTAAAGTACATTCTTTGCCAATTCTTTCAGTTAGTTTCCCTGGATGGCAAACAGTTTTATGTCTGAAAATGTCTTATTTTCACTTTCAGTCTTGAATGACAGTTTAGTTGAGGATATTATTCTAGGCTTCCAGTTACTTGAATTAATTAATTAATTAATTATTATTTTTTTAGAGATAGGGTCTGGTTCTTTTACCTGGGCTGGAGTGGAGTGTCACAAACATGGTTCACTGCATCCTCGACCTCCTGGGTTCCAGCAGTTCTCCTGCCTCAGCCTCCAAGTAGCCAGGACTGCAGGCATGTGCCACCACTCCCAGCTGGTTTTGTATTTTTGGTAGAGATGGGGTTTCACTGTGTTGCCCAGGCTGGTCTTGAACTCCTGAGCTCAGGAAATCCACCTGCCTCGGCCTCCTAAAGTGCTGGGATTATGGGCATGAGCCGCTGAGCCCTGCCGGCTTCCAGTTATTTTTGCTCAGCCTTTTGAAGATACGACTTCATTGCCTTCTATCCTCTATTGTAGTCTGAGAAACTTACAGTCATTAGATTGTTTTGTTTTGCAGCTAATCTGTCTGATTTTTCTTTATCTGATAGTTTTTTAAAATAACTTTTTCTTTACCCTGATATTCTATAGATTCACTGTGGTATATAAATAGGTGTAGTTTTAAGACATTTATTCTATTTAGTATACGTCTTTGAGGATGCACATTTTTCTTCAATTCTGGAAAATCCTCAGCCCTTACCTCTTTGGAAATTCCTTCCTCATAGCCCCCCTCTATTATCTTCTGGAGCTATTATTTCAACACATATTTGAGCCAGAGTTTTTTTTTTTTTTGTTTAATAGCTCTTTCCTATTTTTCTTTATTTCTTTAGGCTGTGTTCTTAGTGATTAAATTAGCACCATCATCCAATGTACTTATTCTCTCTTTGACTTTATTCTCTAGCATTGATTCCTTCTTTTATTCTCTAGCATTGATTCCTTCTATTGAAAAGTATTGTAAATGAAATGCCTATTTTGTGTTCAGCATTTTACATCTGTTTCTTTTTTTAAATGTCCACCCTACCTTGTTATATTTTTGCTTGCTTTTGTTTCACAATTTCTCATTGTTATTAGTCATGCTATTTCTTCCTTTATCCATTGTGGATCTTAAATAATAAAAAATATTTTCTGATTGCTTTATTATTTTACTTTCCCGGGCTGCATCAACCTTCTGAGTATGGTTTTGTCAGCTGTTTTTCTTAGCATTAGATTTCCTCATATGCTTCAGAACTTAGCTTTGTAGGATAATTATGTATGATTACTATGGGAATCCACTCAACTCCCTCAACCCCCAATTCAACTTTTGTGGTCATCTCCAACCCAGTCATGAGGCTTCTGTCCAAGGACTGGTCTCATGTTGGTGGTTGGGGCTCTGGTTCTTTAAGGAGACAGAGGAAGATGCAGATCCAAGAACTTGGCTGGTTTGCCTATAGGTCCTGGCTGGAAGGCTGCACATCCCCACTCCTACCTTCGTCATCACTGAGCTACATATAAACCACAACCCTGGGCCAGATACATTGCAGTTGGTTTCAAACTCCTTCCCTGACCAGGGAAATCCTATCCCAGGCCCAGTAAGTCTGGATCAATATCCCTACATTTTTAGTTCCTTGTACCCCACAGGATAGAGCTCCAGCCACCCCACAAGATAGAGCTCCAGCCACCTCTTCCTGCATCTTGGCCCCAGTCCAGCAGACCTGCAATTCAGTCAGCTTTTTTCTTTGTTCTTTTCTACCATTTCTAGTCCAGAAAAATACTTATCTTACTTTTGAAGGTGGCTATGTCTTCTTAGCTTTTGTTGTTAATATTTTATCTATGAGTGCTACGTGTTGGGATCAGAGGGAGAGCTTGAAGTATGAACTTACAGTATCATCTTGGCTGGGAGGCTCCATTAGTGTTCAAACCATTTGTAGTTAAAAATAATATTGTTGTGGCCAGGTGTGGTGGCTTACATCTGTAATCCCAGCACTTTGGGTGGCCGAGGCAGGTGGATCACCTGAGGTCAGGAGTTTGAGACCAGCCTGGCTAACATGGCAAAACCTCGTCTCTACTAAAAATACAAAAATTAGCTGGGACTGGTCGCACGTGCTTGTTGTCCCAGCTACTTGGGAGGCTGAGGCAGGAGAATCGCTTGAACCTGGGAGGCGGAGGTTGCAGCGAGCTGAGATTGCACCACTGCACCCCAGCCTGGGTGACAGAACGAGACTCTGTCTCAAAAAAAAAAAATTGTTACTTACAACCTAAAACATCATAACTGACAGAAGTACTTATCTCATAAGATTGTTCTGAGGACAAAGTGGGATTTTCCAATGTGAACACTCTGAATGGTGTCTGACATTGAGAAAGGCTCAATAAAAGGCAGCTATTACTTTAATTGCTTTTGTTGTCTACTGTTTCCACATGTGTTTCTGAAACTGTCCCTATAAACTTTGTAAAGTTCATCAGGGAAGAAGAGAGAGAAAGAAATGAAAATAAACACAGCTTGCAGCACATTTGGCATTAACATGAGATCAGCTGCTCTCTGACCCATTTCCTCATAGTTGTTTGGTGCCTATTGTCTTAGAATCACACTGACCCTAGATTACAGTTTCCCTTAACTGCTCCATAGGTAACAACTTGAACATTACAGAATATTAAGTTTTCCCATTGAGACAGTCTTTCAGACCCTGCATACCAGTGAAACTATCAATGTCAGCTGGCCTGAAGGACCCCACGAGGAGCTGACTCCCCAGAGAATGCAGTTTCCACATCCTGAAGATTTCATCGCCCTTACCCTAACCAATCAATGACCCCAATTCCCAGCCCCTTGCCCTCCATGATCCCCTTAAAAGCCCCAGCCCAGAACTCTTTGGGGAGATGGATTGAGGGTCTCTTCCCATCTCCTTGCTTGGCTGCCCTGTGATCATTAAACTCTTTCTCTGCTGCAAACCGTGCTGTCTCAGCATATTGGTCTGTTCCTGCACAACCAAAAGCTGTAACACTTCTGCTTTCTCTGGGTTCAGCCCAGCAGAACCATAATGTGGAAATTTCAACTGGGCTGCCTCTGTCTTTGGGCATATGCCTCCTCCTCCGTCAAACACACTGGTTTCACTCTCTGTCTTTTCTTCTTAACATGCATTTCCATGTTTGCTTCTTCAGAATGATTCCAACCCCCCAACTTCTAAATGATAGTCTGGAAAGACCACTTAACAAAAAGACCTAAGCTATTGATTTAAGCCCCACCCATGCTGTTAGCTGCAGGACCTTGGGAAAATCTCTAAGCTCTCAGCCCCATTTTCTCCATCAGCCAAACGGAGGTGGTGATGGTTTTGTCCACTTTACAGGGTTGTTGTGAGAATTCAGTGATGTGGAGCTCTTTGCAAACTGTGAAATTCTGTGTACTTTGAGGGAGAATAATTGTTAATATTTATTAAACATTGTATTGTATGATTTAACCTTCATAATAATGGTTTTCTATACAGAACCATTTTTTTATTCTTGTTTTAGAGGCTGAAGTCTTAGAAAAGTATAGTAACCTGATGAAGCAATTTATTTACTGAATAATGCAAATGAGATTTGGCTGTAAACCTCTAAACTCATCTCCTTCTGTTCCTTACCTTCTACCTTGCTCTTTACTTCTTATCATTCTAAGATAAATTCCCCTTTAGAGTTTCTGGTCTTGAAATTACCCTTCTATTTTTGCTATATTGCCTGTGGTCTCCCTTTTTAACACCTTGTAAGGCCACATCTCTTCTGCTATGAATTTTGGATTTCAAGAAGACACAGACCTTTCCTCTCTCCTTTTTGCCACTTCCATTCCATCAACCATCATTTCCTTTTGGGTCACATATAGGCAAGGGGAAGGTGCTGCTCTGACTGTTTTCTCTGTTTCTTGGGAAGAGAAATAGAAGTGTATCTTAGTTCAGTTTCCCTAGAGAGCAAGATCCTAGAGGCAAAAACTTACATCCAATGCTTTGTTGAATGGTGTAATTCCAGGGAAGGAAGAATGAGGCAACATAAAAGCAAGGGAAGGAGAAAGGAGAGAGAGCACATACAAGAGGATGTGTTGAGCTTGTGAAACGCTTCCAGAAAGGCTGTATGAGACTCCTGCTCTTCAGAACAGTATATGGGGAGGGAGGAAGGGCAAGGTAGGTGTTTACTGTACCTTTCCCATAATCTCTTTCTCACTGATGGATCAACCATGGATCTCTGTCTCCCCGTGGATCAAAACCATGGGTATTAATCCCCAAACACCATGAGGGGGCAACTCTAGGCAGCCTCTGGGAAGCTGGAGCCTCCAAGGCCCAGACTGGCTCTTGTGCTGATGTGGCCAGCTCTCTTCATTCACTGGTGCTGTGAGTGGGAGCTTGGTTGGTAGTGGCAGCAGCAGCCACTGGGACTTTCCATAGGAGTAGGATGAGATGTCACTGGGTCTGCCCTGGCTAGGACATGAGACACATAGCAGAGACCCAGGTTGGATAGGTAGGGCTGAGTGGATCTTCTACTACGTCACCTTCCTCACCAAACTCATCCTCGTAAACACAGGTGAATGCATTGATGTCATTATGTGCCAAAGGTTACCACTGCCCTTTTACCCCAGCCACCGGTGCCTACTACTCAAGTGGTGTGGTCAACCCAACTCCACAGTCCCTTCTTGAGCTCCAGCTTTCTAGGGTCACACTTGACAGTGGTTGTCTGCATTTCCTAGAGAACAGAACCTGAGACAAAAGTTTCCTTGCTGATGGTTTATTTAGGGGAAGATGGTGCAAGTCCCAGGAATCATGTCTGAGAAAAAGGGAAAGTGAAGCAGAAAAGGAGTCAAAGCAAATACAAGGATGTGTGCTACTGGGCTGACCACAGCATTGCAGTAAACACAGGGGGTTGCTCAGGACCCTGGGAGGTTTCTAGAAAAGCACAGGGAGCCACCCAGGCAGCTTCCAAGAAAGCCAGGGCTCTAGTCAGGCCAGTGAGTAGGGAAACGGCCTCTCCATCATGTTAGCACAGTACACAGGAGCCCATTGGGTTTTAGAGACAGTGGTGGCCATCAAAATTTTTGACTATGGCAGGGAGAATAATGTCCCTCCCAAGATGTCCACAACCTAATCCCCAGAACCTCTGAATCTGTTAGCTTACACAGCAAAGGGGAATTAAGGTTGCAAGTGGAATTAAGGTTGCTAATCAGATGACTTAAGAAGAAGAAATTATTCTGGATTGTTCTTGGTGAAACCAATGCAATCCCAAGGGCCCTTAAAAACAGAAAGGGGAGGTAGAAGAGAAGGTTGGAGCGATGGGTTGTGAGAAAGACTCTACCAGCCTCTGCTGGCTTTGTAGGTAGTGGAAGGGGCCGTGAGCCAGGGAATGCAGGTACCCTTTAGAAGCTAGAAGAGGCAAAGACATGGATTCTCCCCTGCAGCCTCCAGGAGGAACATAGTCCTGTCCATAGTCCTGTCCTTGATTTTAGCCCAGTGAGACTTATGTCAAATTTCTGACCTACAGAACCATAAGCTAATAAGTTTGTGTAGTTTTAAGCCACTTAATCTGTGATAACTTGTTGCAGCAGCTATGGAAAATGAACAGAGTGACCCCAGGAGCAGATGATTGTCCCTGGAGTCTGCAAGGTTACTGGAAGGGGTGGCGTGTGGTCAGAATCTGATTGGAGGCCTCTAAAGGACTTATCAGATTTGGCATCCTGGAGGGTGAGTTCCCCCCGAGGTGAAGGTCCTCGTCACCGTGACAGCTCCCCTCCACGTCAGTGTCCAGAGCACTGCAGGGTAGCTTCCACCTCACTGGGCAGCAGTGTTCCATTCTCTGTCCTTTGTCCATCTCCAGACTCTCTCATGCTCAAGTACGTTGCTCTTCCATTGTGTTAAAAGCATTAGGAACACCCTCTGTGTGTTAGAAAGGCAGCTTTCTAAACTGCCTTTCTTGAAATATTTATTGAGCGCTTACTTTGGGAAAGAAGGATGCCTGCGAATACAGGGATGAACAAGACAGGTTCTGAGTCCATTTTCCTAATGGGGGGACAGGACATTAAATCTTATGAGCATATGGCTGGGCATGGTAGCTCATGCCTGTAATCCCAGCACTTTGGGAGGCTGAGGTGGGTGGATCACCTGAGGTCAGGAGTTCGAGATTAGACTGGCCAACATGGTGAAACCTCCTCTCTACTAAAAATACAAAAATTAGCCAGGTGTGGTGGTGCATGCCTGTAATCCCAGCTTCTCGGGAGGCTGAGGGAGGAGAATCGCTTGAACTCGGGAGGCAGAGGTTGCAGTGAGCCGAGACCAGGCCATTGCACTCCAGCCTGGGCGACAGAGTGAGACTCCATCTCAAAAGAAAAAAAAATCTTATGAGCTCACCAATAAGTATAAATTCACAAATGATGGTAGCTGTTATTATGAAAAAGCTCTAGAAGCTATTCAGATTCACAGGAGGACATGCATGAGATCAGGGACTCAGGGCAGGCCTCTCTGAGAGGTGACATTTAAGCTCATGCTTAAATGATGAGAAGCTTGGGCCACACAGAACTTGGTGGTCAGAACAGGCAGGTGCATTTCCTTGAACCCGGATGTGTTTCCTACCAACCAGGCAAGGCTTTTGGTTACATTACTTCAGGTAGGAGCTTTCTCCTGCCCAATTCAGCAATATCTACAAGATGCCCCCGCTGTCTTGTGTTAGAATATCAGGTGAAATGTATCTGAGCACATGGGATTCCTTCTAACAGTTGTTCAATGAAGAGCGTTGGCTCTGGGATGATGGACACAGGGAATCTCCCCCATCCTCAGCACGTCTCAGGAGTCTCTGCTGAAATTTGGGTCTTGTTTGGTCGAAAGAGAAAACCGTGCCTGGAGTAGCTGTGGAATAAGGGAGAACCGTCTTGGCCCTGGAGGCAGAGAGGCCTGGGGCTGGATCTCAGCTCCACCATGGACTAACCTCACAGCTTGGGCAAACGGCCTTCCTCTTTGAATGAGCTTCCCAAGCTGTGAAATGGAGGTCACAATGCCTGCCTCAGGGAGAGGTTGTGCAGGTTCAGCGAGGTGATAGGTCCTCCACTTCTGTTATATCCAAGACATTCAAACAATTATAATAACACACTATGATGTAACACTATTCAAATAATTATTAACCCCATGCAAGTTCAATTTTTATGATGTGGCAAGATGCATTGCCCCCTCCATTATAATGAGTAGGGGTGTGTGTTTGTGTGTGTGTGAGAGAGAGAGAGAGAGAGAGAGAGAGAGAGAGAAAGAGAGAGAGAGAGATTTGAAACAAACACGCCAGTCAGAGTTGGTGCCATGCCCTCAGAGAGGGTGTCATTCACAGTGGGAATGCAGAGTCAAATGTTTCTTAGCACAACAATGTGCTGGAATAGTTTCTCTTAAAGGACAAGGTCAATGTTGTCTTAACAGGAGGAATAACCTTTTCTCATGTGGGAAACATTATGACTTGCTCTGATGTGGTGTCTTTGGGCCTTACGTAAACTCTGAATGAGGATTCCAGGCCACGCTTTCTCCTCGCTCCTGGGAGCAGAGCCCGCACCCTCCTCTTTGGTTGGTTATTTTATTTTAAAATAACTGTTTCAGTTTAGAATAGTTTTAGATGTATAGGAAAGTTGCAAGAATATTACAGAGAGTTCCCGTATACCCCACACCCAGTTTCTCCCATACACACCTTCTACTTTGTGACTCAGCAAGGATGGAGTTGGGGAGAGCCTGTGCTGGCACCCAGCGGGAGCATCTTAACAAAACAGAAGGACCCAATGGGTCACCAAAGGAAGGGATAGAAGCTGGAAAGAAGCAAGGGTGGAAGAGAAGGTGTAGAGAAGACCCCAACCGCGGGTGCAGGAGGCAGCGACAGTTACTGAATTTCCCAAATTTTTAGCAAACTTCCCTCCCTCAGCCTGTACCACGAGCAATCAAAAACACACTTGGAACAGAACAGAGGGACTTTGCCACACCTGGAGTATATTTCGTATTATTTCCAGAGCAGGTGGTGTAGGAAATACCTATTGCCAAATAAGAAATGCTACAGACAGATCAAGTCAAAGTGCATAAGGAAAAGAACCGTTTTAAATGCTGAAATCTCAGAGGTAGTTAATACTTCTCAGAGGAAGAAAAGTGAGTTATTTGTAACTCACTTTTCACGGTCCTGATTTTGAGGTGTGTGTCTGCCATAAAAACATGCTAGTCTTTAGGGGGGCAAGCTCTGCTGTCTTGAGCTCTTTCTTCTTAGACTCTCAGAACAAATATGTAGATGTAATGTTTTTACTTAAGATTACACATATTGGCCAGGCGTGGTGGCTCATGCCTGTAATCCCAGCACTTTGGGAGGCCAAGGCGGACGGATCATGAGGTCAGGAGATCGAGGCCATCCTGGCTAACAAGGTGAAACCCCGTTTCTACTAAAAATACAAAAAAATTAGCCAGGCGTGGTGGCGGGCACCTGTAGTCCCAGCTACTCAGGAGGCTGAGGCAGGAGAATGGTGTGAACCCAGGAGGTGGAGCTTGCAGTGAGCCAAGATCGTGCCACTGCACTCCAGCCTGGGTGACAGAGCAACACTCCGTCTCAACAACAACAACAAAAAAAGATTGCACATATTTTCCATGTATTATTGTATGGACATGGCTTTAGGGTTCCTCTCCCAAACCATAGCAGACTCTGGAGAGAGGGTGGGGAGATCTCAAATTTTTCTGGGGCTGGATGATTGGGCACGTGGGTTGGTGGCTTTGCAGAGGGAACCTGTTGCTTCAGTGACGTGGGGCAGATGGCTCAGCGGTGGATGGCGGAGCAAGGTGATTGCTGGCTGCCATCTCTTGAATGATCCTGGCATGAGCTCCTCCTGTTCCTCCTGGGATTGCTATGGAAACCCAGACTGAGTTGTTGTCTCTGTGTCGGGGCTTTCCTGGGTGTTTTTCCTCCTGGCCTCAACGCTTACAAATCATTCTTTCCTGTGTGCAGATCAGGTGATTCTCCCAGGCCCTGTCTGGGCAGGGTGACTGACAAGTCAATTTGGTCAGACAATTGCTTGGGCTGATTTTTCCATTGCACTGAGCTCCTTGTTTTGGCTCCTGGTAAACTGGGTTTGATCTGGGGCTGGGAGGTGGAGGTTGGGGATCAGGAAGGGAGGGAGGGGATGCCATGTGAGCCTTCTCTTTCTCAGGGGAGCCTGAGAGGGAACGGTGAGAATCCACAGTCCCCAGGTCTGAAGCAGGGAGCTGGGCTGTGTCGAGATTGGGGATGGAGGTATCATTCCCACTTTAAAGATGAAGACATTGAGTTCAGGGAGTTGAGCTGCTTTACCCAAAGCCACATGACTTACGTGGCAGAACCTGGACTCTACCTGAGGGCCTGGTGGGGAGCACGGTGTCCTTTTCGCTGCTTAAGTGGAGGGAGAACTGAAAGAAGCCTTTGCCTGATGTTCTGTGTCTCCTTTTTGTGATGGGGAAGGATTTTGGCTACTGTTTTAGGTCTGTGGTTCATGTTGCCCAAAGCACTGACGACAAATCTGCACATGACCTGACCTTGGGCTTTGGGCAACCCTCTAGATGCCAGTTCCCGAGAAAGACCCTCCACACTTTCAGCTTGCCCATCTGACTGATGGGAAGCTTACCCCTAGAAAGGCATGGCTGAAGCAGAGAACAGAAAGTGTGATCCTTGAGGCCAGAGACTTGGATGTTTATTTCGCTTCTGGTACTTACTAGCTTTGTGACCTTGTGCAAGTCACCTGCCCTCTCTGAGCTTTAGCTCCCTGGCTGAGCAATGCACAAGCCACCTGCCCTCTCTGAGCTTTAGCTTCCTGGCTGAGCAATGCAGTGGTTAATTATTGCTTGGCCTACCTATCAGGGTTGCTGTGAGGATTTAATAAGATTGGAAACATGGAAGCTTTTTGTAAGCCCATAAGGTCAAGCCAAGCCTCCATGCAAGAGCTATGTGGCTTTGATATTCTTGAGGCCCAGAAGGCAAGGCTGACTTCTGAAGCCATGGGTTTGGGGCTGGGGAGGGTGGAGCTGGCTCAGAGTTTGCAGCCATTCAGGGGCCATGTTGGTGATTTTTCCCTTAAGGAGGCCTCTGGTCTAGGGGGCCAGCCAGGGATTAGGGAAGAGGATACACGCTGGCCCATGCTTGTGCTTGGCAATGCCTTGCCACACCTGCCCTCTTTTGCCCCTCACATCTGCTGAATGGCAGGAAGATGGGCCATTGGGTGCAAAGAGGACACACTACAGTATGGCTATGAAGAGAGGGAGTGGCAGTGCATGCGAAGGCTGGAACTAAAAGGCAACTTGACTTCTTCCACTGGCGTGGCCAAGGTTGTCCATTTGCAGAGTCACGTCGTGCTTTACGTAAAAGCTGCTCAGGGAGCAGGGCTCAGAGATAATAAATGTAGCTGAGTTTGGAAACAGCCACATCCCCATTCACCACGGACAGAAGTGGGAGTCAGGGATGTAGCCCAGGGAGGCTTCACCCCTCACCCCTAGGCAGCCCTTTCTTCCTCGGCAGCAACACTGTGAGACCCTCCTCTTTTCACAGCAGGGGCCATCAGGCCCGGAAGTAGGCTTGGCCAGAGCCCAGGTGCAGGATCAAGCCTCACTTGAGGTTGGAGATGTGGAAGAGTTCTAGCCTCCCCTTCTGGGCTCAGCATCAAGTCCTACTGTCAGCCCGTCAGCCGCTGATGCTAGGGTTGAGTTATGCTAACCAGGCCTCGGCCTCCATCTAGAGCCCCAGCCTCTCCTCTCCTTCCCCCAACTGCTGGGATTCCCTTTTCTTTTCTTTTCTTTTCTTTTCGTTTCGTTTCTTTTCTCTTCTCTTCTCTTCTCTTCTCTTCTCTTCTCTTCTCTTCTCTTCTCTTCTCTTCTCTTCTCTTCTCTTCTTTTCTTTTTTGAGACAGTGTTTCGCTCTTGTCGCCCAGGCTGGAGTGCAGTGGCATGATCTCGGCTCACTGCAACCTCCACCTCCTGGGTTCAAGCGATTCTGCTGCCTCAGCCTCCGGAGCAGCTGGGATTACAGGTGGCTGTCAGCACATCCAGCTAATTTTTGTATTTTTAGTAGAGACAGGGTTTCACCATGTTGGCCAGGCTGGTCTTGAACTCCTGACCTCAGGTGATCCACCCGCCTCGGCCTCCCAAAGTGCTGGGATCACAGGCGTGAGCCACCGCGCCTGGCCAGGGTTCCCACTTCTAACAGCTGGGTCCATTCCCAGCTCTACTTCTTTCAGTCGCTATGAGGCCCTGTTTCCCTCCTCATCCTTTCTAACTGCCCCTTCTTAGGGGTAGTGGCCCATCCCTGGACCCCAGCCCAACATTGGTTCCTCTAAGCTCAGGATAGGAAGCAAAGTTCTGTGTGTTGAGGGCCTTTTTTTGCTTCTGGCCCTTTAAACCTAAGTAGATCAAAGAAGTGGATTCTAATTATTCCCATTGTACAGAGGAGGAAACTGAGGCTCAGAAAGGCTAAGAGACTTACCTAAGGTAACATGAATGGTAGAGACAAGATTCCAATCCACATCCACAGGGATTCAAAGGCTGTGCTGGGTCTTGGTGCAGTCACCCACCTGCCTGACGCCTGCAGGGGTCTGATTTCCAGGGGGATGTATTCCCCGTCCTGGGAACCTCCTGTTTGTGCTGTTTTGCTGAGAGCCAGACATTCAGTGCACGCCAGGGCCAGCCACATGACTCCACTTCAGACTGGTTCTTTGACAAAGTTTTAGATGTTCCTTATGGAAACTTAACCTTGAATCTGTTTCTCTGTCCTGCTCAATAGTTCTGTGTATTACTTAATGTGAAAGTAAGGCTCAGAGACAATAGCATTTAGAAAAAAAGAAAGAGCTTACTTGTAAAGAAGCTCAAGAGAGTCAGAATTCATAAAGACTCTGGTTTATCAAATAAAACACAACAGGAATTTAAGGAAAAAAGCACGACAAACCTTCCAAGGTCACTGAGTTTGTTTTGAGTCCATTCATGGCGGAAAATAGCAATTTTCTCACATATTATCACACCCATAAAAGTCGTGACAAATTTTTAGATATCAGCATTGCCCAAGTCAGAGATAAAAATTGTTTTGTTATGAAGTTAGCCAACTAAGGGAAAGGCTCAAGATTTCATTTGTTTTGGGGGGCCAGAACTAGATAGGATGATCTTCTTATTTTTGGTTTCTTTTTTCCTGGTTGGGAGACATGGTGTGTTCACTTATTCTTTATTTTTTAAATTGTTTTGAGATGGGGTCTTGCTATGTTGCCCAAGCTGGTCTCAAATTCCTGGGCTCAGTGATCCTCTTGCCTTGGCCTCCTAAAGTGTTGGGATTACAGGTATGAGATGCCATGCCTGATCCCAGGCTTTTTTTTTTTTTTTGAGACAGAGTCTTGCTCTGTTGCCCAGGCTTGAGTGTAGTGGTACCATCTTGGCTCACTGCAACTTCTGCCTCCCAGGTTCAAGTCATTCTCCTGCCTCATCCTCCTGAGTAGCTGGGATTACAAGCATGCGCCACCACACCCGGCTAATTTTTGCATTTTTAGTAGCGGTGGGGTTTTGCCATGTTGGGCAGGCTGGTTTCGAACTCCTGACCTCAAGGTTATCTGTCTGCCTCAGCCTTCCAAAGTGCTGGGATTATAGGCATAAGCCACTGTGCCTGGCCCCCACTTATTTTTTAATTTTTTAATTTTTTTGAGACAGAGTCTCACTCTGTTGCCCAGGCTGGAGTGCAATGGGGTGGTCTTGGCTCACTGCAACCTTCGCCTCCCAGGTTCAAGCAATTCTCCTGCCTCAGCCTCCCAAGTAGCTGGGACTACAGGCATGTGCTACCACACCTGGCTAATTTTGTATTTTTAGTAGAAACTGGGGTTTCACCATGTTGGCCATGTTGAACTCCTGACCTCAGTTGATCCACCCGCCTCGGCCTCCCAAAGTGCTAGGATTACAGACTTGAGCCACCACGCCTGGCCGCCACTTATTCTTAATGGCAACAGAAACAAGGGTCAGTGTTGTCTCCACACTGATAAACACCTCCTCTCCTGATAAAATCCAGATGGCAGATTCTATTGCTTGCAACTGACTGAAAGAGCCCCAAGGGTCACTGAGTGCAACTCCTATGTTTTACAGACGAGGGAGCAGTGGCCCAGAGGGGAGAATGTTGCTTACCCAACGGCTCCTGGGATTTCCCTGCTTCTCTTGGTCCAAGTGTCCTCTGTGTCACTCAGGCCTGACCAGAAGGCCTGGGACGGAACTCCAGTGTTCTAGCCCCTGAGACGGAGAGAGAGAGAGGCTCTGCGGGTGTTCTTGGTCTCCTGTCCTGGGTGACCATCATGTTCATTCTGCCATGGGAGTGATAACGCTGAATGCGCAGCTTGGCTTAGCTCCCCACAGGCAGAGCCTTTTGAACCCCACTTCAGGTTCAGGTTCAGTCCCAGCTCAGATGCTAGGGCCCTCCCACACCCAGGCAGGAGGGGTAGAGTCACTTTCCACGTGGCTCAGAGGACTCCATGGCAAGTTTTCCAGGTTGCTAGTCTGGCCCTGCCCTCTTAGCCTGATATGACAAATACCACTACCAATAGCAATGGTCAGTGCAAGCATCGTGCTAATGACTTTGTACATAATGTAACATCTATTTCTCTAACAACTATGAGCAGGTGGTTTTATGTCCAATTTGTGGATGGGTACACTGAGGAACAGAGCAGCTAAGTGACTTGCCTGAAGTTCTAGAACTAGTGAGTGTTTACGGAGGCAGGAGCTGAGCTCAGTTTTGTCTGAATCCCAAGTTTGTTCTCCCAGCCACATGCGTGCAGCCTGACTCAGTGAGCTCAGTTCATACAATTGGGCTGCAGTGCTGTTCCTCCCTGGCCAGTATAGTCCCACTTTGAGCAACTAGTTGGGGGTGGGGTGGGGCGGGAAGGCACCTAAGGACCTGTCACCTGTTGATGTCACTTTCTGACAGTCTCAACTTCCAAGTGTCCCCTGGCTCTTGGTTCCCTGGAGTTAGGAGCCAGGCTGTCTGTGCCCGTTCTTCTCACAAGTGGTGCTGCCTGTTCAAATCCTTGCCCCTCACTGAGCTGAAAGAATTCTCAGTCTCTTCTCAGCTCTGCTGCTCTGGTTCTAAGGAGCAGCCCCCCGCCACCTAACTGAGAGAGATGACTCAAAAGGCCTGCAGGAGTGGAGTCTTTGCATGTGAGCGCACATAAGAATGATGCCTTCCCAGAAAGAAAAACATCTCTTGTTTTCTTCCAGTAAATCAAGGCTGGGAGGTGCATTTGTTTAATGGGTTCTGTCCACAGCTAATCTAATTTGGTAAATGATTTGGGGGGTGGGGGAAAATGCTGACCCAACACTTCAGAGAATGGACTCAGAGCAAGGGGTGTAGGCAGTGACACGCAGCGGGACTGTGAGCAGGAGAAGGGGCTGGAGAACCTACCTGTGCGTCAGGGTTTCCTGTCCCCTTCCCATGTGACATGCACTCACACACATGCACCCATGCACAAACACTCACACTTGCATGTATGTGGATGCTGTCTTTCCTTTCTGGCTCTTAGATATCAGCATTGCCAAAGTCAGAGACAAAGTTTGTTTTGTTACAAAGTCAGTCAATGACTGGGAAGGCTCAATATTTCATTTGTTTGAGGTGGGGTTGGGGGCAGAACTCGATAGGGTGATCCTGTTAGTTTTGGTATATTTTTTCCTAGTTGAGAAATGTGGTATTCACTTATTCTATTTATTTATTTATTTTTTCCTTACTCGTGGACGCACATGTGTTTGCTTATTCGTTACGATGACAGGAACAAGGGCCAGTGTTGTCTCCACACTAGCAAATACTTCCTCTGCTGAAATGTCTGTCCACGTGTCTTTCTGCCTGTTAGAACCACAGCTCACCAGGATCTAGAGAGTAGACCCATCCACCATAGCAGATGAGTCACAGATATTTTGGGAAGGGCAAGCATTCAGATTGAAGGATGAGGAGTATGGTAGACAGAATAATGGCCCCCAAAGATGTCCACATCCTCACCCTCGGAACCCGTGAGGATGGCAAAAGCGACTTTCCGGATATGATTAAGTTAAGGACCTCAGGATGAGAGCGTCCTGGCTTATCCAGGTGGTCCTAATGTAATTATAAAGGTCCCTGTAAGAGGGAGGCAAAGGTTCAGCATCAGAGAGGAGATGCGATGACGGAGGCAGAGGCTCCAGTGAGGAGCTTTGAAGGCGGAGGCAGGGGCCATGAGCCAAGGAATTCAGGCAGTATCTATAAGGCTGAAGAAACAAGGAAACGAATTCTCCCCTACAACTATCAGAAGGAGTGCAGCTCTGCTGACACTTATTTTAGCCTGTAAGATCTGCTTTGGATTTCTGACCTCCAGAACTATAATCTGTCTGTGTTATTTTAAACCACTAAGTTATAGCAGCAATAAGGAACTAACATGAGAAATCAGGAGAGCTCAGGCATGGGGTGGGTGGGTGCCTGGGCTCTCCAGGCACACCAAGAGACTCACACCGTAGGCAGAATGTGGAGACAGATCTGGGAGCTGGAAAGGGCCTCAGAAGTAGGCTGGGATCAGAACAATGCTAGAGGTCTCTGGAGGATGGAGCTCAACAATGTTTCAGAGGTGCTAAGATCCTAGACACAAAGATAGGGGCTCAGGTATGAGGGACTAAGACTTGAGGATGGGGTACAGGGTGTGGCTGTGGAGAAAAACAAAGGAAGGGCCTGCTTCTGATAAGCTCAGCTTGGTGCTGAGCTGTGTGCTCTGAGATTTGCTCTCCTTACCTGCAAAACGGAGGTCTTGGCTAGCTCAGAGGTCACAGACTGGAGGCTATAGGCTTGATACAGCTCACAGACGTGTTTAGCCTATACTGGGTTTTTAAAAACATTTGGATGGGTAAGCCATGGTGGCTCCCGCCTGTAGTCCCAGCACTTTGGGAGGTTGAGGTGGGAAGATGACTTGAGGCCAGGGGTTCCAGACTAGCCTGGTCAACATAGCAAGCCCCTTTCTCTATCAAAAACAAAAACAAGGCCGGGCAAGGTGGCTCATGCCTGTAATCCCAGCACTTTGGGAAGCCAAGGTGGGTGGATCACCTGAGGTCAGGAGTTCGAGACCTGCCTGACCAACATGGTGAAACCCCATCTCTATGAAATATGCAAAAATTAGCCAGGAGTGGTGGTGCACACCTGTAGATCCAGCTACTTGGGAGGCTGAGGCACGGGAATCACTTGAACCCAGGAGGCGGAGGTTGCAGTGAGCCGAGATCACGCCACTGCACTCCAACCTGGGCAACAGAGTGAGCCTCTGTCTCAAAAACAAAACAAAACAAAACAAAAACAACAACAAAAGACATTTGGACCGGTATTTTAAAATCATTAGATTTCACATATAAATCCGATGTTCTGAATTTTATCTTAAAATATAGGGTGATCCGGCAACAATTGGACCTATACTCCTGCCTGTTTCAGAGCCTCCTAGGCAATTCCAGCTGGAGGTGGAACGTTCCCAGGTGAGGTAGGCCCTGCAGACGTGGGAGTGGGGTCACTGTCACCCAAAAGGAGGAGCATCGGCTTTTTAGACCGGGGCCTGAGGAGCCCCCAAGGGAAGTGTCTGAACCACGCAGGTTCCTTACAGTCTTGAGCTCAGATTTAACTTGACAAGTGCTGAGTGCAGCGGGACTCTTAGCCACATTGATCCGGACACTAAACTCCTATTAATGTAGTCAGAGAAAGCAATTGCTTTCTTGGCAGCCACATGCGGCTGGCGGCTCGCACAGACCTTGCAGTCAGATGGAGACACCAGGACCGCCCCGTGGGAGCAGCTGTGAGCTAAGACTTCCGCGCCTGGGTATCCAGCCTCAGTGCAGGCTTCACGCTCTGGCTCTGTCAGTGTGGACTGTCACTTTAGCTGCCAGCCTTTCCTGTGAGTGGCATCCTCAGCTGTCCCCTGCACTGGCCCCTTGGCATTTTCCTAACCCCTACACAAAAGGGCAGCGGGATCTTGGCTAGGGGGCTCAGAGCAATGCTCCCTGCTCCCCAATTTGGCCTTCCCTGCTAACATCCCCTTCCCTGGTGTTCTGACCCTTTTTGGCTTCCTCCCTCAGCACATGCAGGCCCCCCCCCCATGCTCTGTTTTGGATGTGTCTTCCTGGTGCTCCCTCCTCAGGCTCACTCCAGTGGACATGATTTTGCTTCTGACCTCTGGACTTATGCACCTTTGCCAGGCCCAACAGCTTCTCCCTTTTTCGTGCTATGTGGGGACTGTGACGGCCAGGACCCCTTCCCAGCCCCCGCAGCGCCCCCCTCAGTCACCAAAGTCTGTCTTTTTTACTCTCTGATATCTTCGAAGTTGTCCATTTCTTTCACCCCCAGTGCCATGCGTGTCCAGCCCAATCTCTCACCTGGCTGCTCCCAGAGCCTCTGACCTGTACTCCCTGCCTCCAGGCTTTTCGCCTCCAGCCCACTTTCCAACAGCAGCCGGAGAGCTCTCTTCAGAGGACAAACCTGACCATGGCAACTCTGTCCAGAATCCTTCAATGCATCGTTCCGGATTTCAAGATGAAGCCTGAGTTCCAGGCAGTTCCAGACTTGGCCCCGGTTCTCTCCTCCAGCCTCATGGCTCCCCGCATCCATCCCCCAGTCCATGTTCTGGCCATACTGGTCCATTTGCAGCACGCTTGCTTCCTCTGAAACTTGGACTTTTGCACACGTTATCCTTTTTGGCAGGAACCCGCTCTTACCCCACCCCCTTCCTCTGGCTAACTCACCTTTCACATATGATTATGGCTTCCCTGCCACCCCACCACCCCCAGGATAGGCTTCCATCTCTTGCTCTTATGAGACCCACCTCCAGTCATGGCACTGGGTAACTGGCCTCCCTCAGTGATTACTGCTTACTGAGTTATCTGTCTTTCCCACCAGACTATAAACTCCTTCAAGGCGGGAACTCCATCTGTTTTGCACCCCATTATACCCCCACCGCCTGGTGTAAGGCTGGGAGTAGCAAGTGCTTGATGAATGTATATCGAATGAATGAATGATAGTGATGATGAAGCCAAGAGCAAAGAAAGCCCACGCAGGCAGAGACTTTTCTCCAGGTTCATCCAGAATCATCTTTTTTTTTTTTTTTTTTGAGATGGAATTTCTCTCTTGTCGTCCAGGCTGGAGTGCAATGGTGCAATGTTGGCTCACTGAAACCTCTGCCTCCCGGGTTCAAGCAATTCTCCTGCCTCAACCTCCCAAGTAGCTGGGATTACAGGCGCCTGCCATCACGCCCAGCTAATTTTTGTATTTTTAGTAGAGATGGGGTTTCACCATGTTGCCCAGGCTGGTCTCGAACTCCTGACCTCAGGTAATCCACCCGCCTCAGCATCCCAAAGTGCTGGGATTACAGACGTGAGCCACCGCTTCTGGCCCAGAGTCATCTTTAATTGCCTCTCTCTAGCCACACCCCATGGAAGTTGAATTAGCCGGGTGAGCAAGGAATCGACTGTAGGAATCTTCCCAACTCTAGCAACACCTAGTCCCCATGTCTCCACCTTGTCCACAAAGATGACGTGGGAGATGTTGCCAACCGCCTCACTGAATCAAGTGACATTCCTTCCACCAGAACAGGAAATGAGCTTGATTTGGTATAACAATTGTCAGAAAACACTGAGTTTGTCTGATTCCAGAGATCAGCTTTCTTAACCACTGTGCCATCCTACCTGAAAGACAACTGGGAATCAGTCTGGAGCTCACTTCCCACAGGACGGGCTAAAGAGTGGTGGTCCAACAGGCAAAGATCTGAACTCTAGTCCTCGTTCTGCCTTAGGGAGCTGTGTGACTTGGGGCAAATCTCTAACCTTCTCTGGGCTTTCATTTCATGGGACCTAATCCACAGGGCTGTGGTAAGGACTCATCTTTCATTACTTCAGGGCTTATAAAGGGCAGGGACCAGGCTTCTCTATGTGGACTTCCCCATTGCTCAGCACAGGGCCTGGCCCATCAATAGCCCTGAAAATATGATCATTAAATTGAAAAGCTCTTTGCGGACCCCTTTCTAAAATTCTTCATCAGTCAAGCACTTGAGCCGGGCAGGGAAACCCACTCCATCCTCACTAACTGGACAATTGCCTCATGTCACTGATGGGTGTTATTTTGTCCTCTGCTATAATGCATGTCTTTTAAAAAGAAAATTAGGATCTGTCAAGCACCATTACACAATGAACCCAGCAAAGGGGCAGCCAAGCTTCCAGCCAAGCAGAGGCCGCAAGTGGTATGGGGAGCAGTTGTCTAGAGCTGCTCATTGCCGAGGCAATACTCCACATGGAGGGTTCCCTGCTTGGGAAGTCTCCTTCTCCTCCCAGGTCCCTGCCCCAGAGAGGGGAGTGGGGAGAGTTTGATGTAATTTTCTGGCCTGAGAAGCAAAATCCGCTTCTGAAGGCACTCAGGCTTCCATGCCTGCCCACGCACTGGAGATTTGTACCAATGAGAAGGACCACAAGGAAGGCTGGAGCTGGGCACCCTAGTAGGGACGGCTCCTCCTAGTGTTCAGTTTGCACCTGGTAATGTTTTGGCACCATCCGTCTACTACTAAGAGGGAGGTCTTTTTTCTAGATGAGGAAACTGAAGCTTGGAAAGAGTCCAGCCCAGAACGAGGTGAGTGTGACCCCAAAGCCTGTGTTCTTTGCAGACATTGTGCTGCCTGCCTTCCCCTGAGGTTCTGTGGACCACGGATGGGGGAAGGCTAGCAACAGAGTGAGTATTTGGGATCCTATGCACATCGGGAGGAGCATAGCCTAGGACTTCCATGGGAAGACACGTTTTTTATTTCTCACTGCGTTGGTTGGTTGCTGTCAGGAGCCACCTTTTGCTTGACCCGCTCAGATGTGACAGACAGTCCTGTGGTGGAGGTTGAAGGATGGCACTTTAGACGCTTCATTCTCAGTGGCCTCCTAAGCAACTGAGAGGTCCTCACCCACCCATGCTGCTTCCAGGGCTGGCCCTGCCCTACACTTTGCTATTCCTTGTTTTTTCCTCCTAGTCTTCTCCCTCGTCTTCCTTCCCCTCCTCCTCTTACTTCTCCTCCTCTTTCTCTTTCTCCTCTTACTCCTCCTCCTCCCTTCCTCCTCTTTCTTCTCTTCTTCCTCCTACTCCTCCTCTTTCCTTTTCTCTTTCCTTGCCCTCTTCTTCCTTTTTCTTCCTTCTCCTTCATCCTCTTCTTCCTCTCCTCTTCCTTTCCTTTTTTCCTCTGTCCTCCTCCTTCTCCTCTCCTCCTCCTTCCTTCCTTCTCCCTCCTCTTCTCTTTCTCTTCTTCCTCTTCTCTCTTCTCCATCTTTCCTCTCCTTCACCTCCTCTCTTTCTCCTTCCTCTCCTCCCTCCTGCTCCTCCTCGCTCCTCCTCCCTCAGACAGTGCTCACAGCTTCTCACCTGCCAGCACATAGAACTGGGAGAAACCAGAGCCAGCCTCACATGTGGGGGAATAAATGCTGAGCTGTGACAATCCTGCCTGCCTCAGAAAGAGAGGTTTTATATAGTTTTTGGCATTTACAAATCCTTTGTGAAAAGGTCACCCTGTTCTTGGAATCTTTTATTAATGCTGAAGACTGGCCCCGGAAATGTCATGTCTTTTTACCATGATATTTACTCAAAAAAGTATGACTAACCATCGGAAATTCTACGAGTGGCTCGACCCAGGTCAGGCTGGGTGAACCTGTGGGGGACAAATGGATGCTGAGCTCGCTGGTGTTGTTGGGCTGCACCTTCCCCTGAGCCCTGAGTGAAGGGAAGGAGGAGCATGCCAGGGTCAGGTACCTGGGCACCCATCTGCTCTGCATGGCTCTCTGCTGTCCCAGTTCCTCAGAGGCTCCAGAGCACAGACCAGCACTCCAAGCTGGAAGGGACCTTGTGTGTACAACATCCCAACTCATCATTTTACAGAAGTGGAGACAGGCTCAGGGAGGGGAAGACACCTGCAGGGTCACCCAGCAAGTCAGGGACAAAGCAGAGACTAGAGATCAGGTGTCCCGATGTCCAAGTCAGTGGCCAGTCCTGACTCTCACTCCTGCGCTGAGCCTGAGAAGAGGATGGGGGCTGGGTGCGGTGGCTCACGCTAGTAATCCCAGCACTTTGGGAGGCCGAGGCAGGCAGATCACCTGAGGTCAGGAGTTTGAGACCAGCCTGGCCAACATGGTGAAACCTGGTCTCTACTAAAAACACAAAAATTAGCTGGGCATGGTGGCTCACGCCTGTAATCCCAGCTACTTGGGAGGCTGAGGCAGGAGAACCGCTTGAACTCAGGAGGTAGAGGTTGCAATGAGCTGAGATTGTACCACTGTACTCCAGCCTTGGCCACAGAGTGAGACTCCGTCTCAAAAAAAAAAAAAAAAAAAAAAAAGGGAGGGGATGGGAAGTCCTTCCTGTCCCTGCATCAGAGTCCAAGGCAGTAGGGTGCAGAGTGAGACATGGGCGTATCCCTCACCTGCCTCCCTTCCATCAGCCTGGAATTCCCTTTATGTCATCCTACTCCAGGTTACATAGCACAGAAGCCTTTTCTCAAAACCCTGTTGCCTTTCTAGACAGTCCTGGAGGGGCTTGGGACAGGAAGAGGTTAGAGCCTACCTTATTGTCTTAGTCAGCTCAGGCTGCCCCAACAAAATATCACAGATCGTGTGGCTTCAACAATAAACACTTATTTTCTCACATCTCTGGAGGCTGGAAGGCTGAGATCAAGGTGCCATCATGGCTGGGTTCTGGTGAGGGCTCTCTTCCAGGCTTGCAGATGGCTGCCTTCTGCATCCTCACCTGGCCTTTTCTTTGTGTGCATGCAGGGTGAAGGCGAGAGTGAGGAAGCTCTCTCCTTAAAAGGACACCAATCCCATCATGAGGGTGCCATCTTCATCACCTCATTTAACCGTAATCACTTTCCAAAGGCCCCACCACCAAATACCATCCCATTGGGGGTTAGGGCTCCAACATATGAGTTTTAGGGGGACACAAGCCTTCAGTTTATAGCACCTACAATTTCACAGGGATCATTTGGAGAGGGTGAAACAATGGATGTGAAATTAGTGTGTAAACTGTAGCTTGCACACCCGTATACATTTTTATTATTATTATTTTTGGGAGGAAACCAGAGAAGAAAGGAGAGCACAATGCAGCCTGCTCAGCTTCTCAGAGGAGCTCGTTTGGAGAGGAGAATGAGCCTCAGGCAAGGAGACCCTGGGCAGGGGGAATGGAGAAGACATCTGCTGTTGCTCCCCAGCACTCACTCCCTTCCTTGGCCACATTGTCCTCCAGCCTCATTTCAATGGTCTGAATGAATCATGAGGCCAGGGCCCCAGCCAATCACCACATCCCATTTCCCTGGCCACAGTGATTGCTTCAGCAGTGGGAGCTTGACCCTTAGATGTCTAATTAGTGTTTTAAGGACTTTTGTTGGGACTCACTCTTCTGTGGTGGATTTGAACCTGGAAGGATAGTATCTCAAGAGCTGCTGCTACAGCCACTTGTGGCCAGAGGGGCCATCTGGCTGTGCCCACTGGAAGACATAGGTGAGAATGCACATTCTTATGCAGTCTTGGTCTTCATGAGGGCAGGTGTTTGGTTTGTATGCCAAGTACAGTGCCTGGAACATAGAAGTACTGATAAATATTTGTTGAATAATACATATTTGAGACCCTGGATACGGCCATGCCTGGAGCTAGCTCTTTCTGAACTCCTTCTTTTACTTAAGCCAGCTTGATCACTTGCCCCTAAACAGCCTTAAGTCAAACAGGGCATGAGGTTAAAGGCAAGAGCCTGGAGAGGTTAGGGCGGGGTAAGGGGCTGCTCTAAGGCTGTGCAAAGCCCAGGGCAAGGGGCTGCTGTGGACTGGTCTAGCTTTGGCTGTGTAGACGCAGCCTGAAATTCAGCGTGGGGGTCTCTGTGCATGAGGGCTCCTGGTCATGCACTGGGCACAAGGAGGCCTTTTTGCCCTTTGAAGGAAATACAAGGTCCCAGTGCCCCCTACCTGAGGTGGCCCTGCTCTGGTAGCTGCAGAAGAATCATTGGTGCAGAAATCAAACCCTGCCATGGCTTAGGCCTCAGACTCTGCCATGAAAAAACTCCCTTGGCCATTAGGGTGCTTTCGAGAGTGTGGTTGTTCAGCTTATCCCCTCTCCATTGCTGGACACAGCTCAGGATGCAGGTCAGGCTGTTTTAAGGGTGAGGTTCCCTTCTTGTAACTTTCACTTGTGTACCCTCCCATCCTATGGCTGCTGCCAACAGTAAAATAAAAATAAAAACCTTATTTCAATGTTTGAAGTGAGTAGGTACTGTGAGCTATTGACCCTGAAGTAGGTATTACTGTTATTCCTATCAAACAAATGAGGAAATGGAGATCCAGAGAGCTGAAGTAGCCTCCCAGAGGCTCAAATAGGAATGGTGGGACTGGGATTTGATCATGGGTCAAATGAGTCTGACACCTTGGCTCCTAACTGTTGTGTTATTTGCTGCTTGAAAGAGATAGTATCAGGAGCCTCATGGTGGGGGGGCCTGTGGGGAAATGTCAGAGCTGCCATCTGACAAGGTGGTATCTGGGGGCCCCGCTCAATCTGCCTGTGTCCAAGCTCTGGGCTTCCTGGGAGGTGCCCCTGCTGGTGGCCATGGGGAGCCTGTTGGGAACAAAACCTCTGCTGGGTCCCTTGAGAGCTCATGGGATTACCTGACTGTTGAGCAGGGCCCAGACAAGCAGCTCACAGGTGGGAAGGAGGGCCTGACCTCAATGCTCCTCACACGAGTGATGCTGCTGCCCACACAGGTGGCATCGGCACATGGCCAGGGCTTCCCCACCTCCACTGATGAGGGACCAGCTCCACCTGGGGCTTGTGGGTGGCTGCCTGGGGTTGGGGGAGGCCCTGCAGTGTGTACAGTTGGCAACTGTGCGAGGGAGAAGTTCTGGGCAGGAATTCCATGAGCTGTGTCTGCCAGAGGGGCTGTATCCTGGCTGGAGGCCTCCTCCTCCCAGAGGCACTGGAGCTCGAACTATGCTATCATGGTGTGGCAACGAGGAGCAGAAATTAGGGGCCATGAATCTAGGCATTCCTTGTGCTGTGGATTACCTAAGGAAAACTCAGGGAAGTAGAACCCAGCACCCTCCTAGGGTCCTTGTTTCTGCTTACCAAGCTCTTCCTGGTGACAGGGGCAGTCCAACAAGGTCCAGCCCCAGTGGGTGCTGATGGGGGCAGGAATGAAGCTTGGCCTCCACCCCCTGAGGCAGTGAGGTCGAGTGGTGCTAGCATCCCTGTTGCTGGCTCTTCCCAGGCCTGCTCCTTATCCTGAGAGTGACCCATTGATGGGATGCATTGTGCCCCTCCTCTACCAGGGGAGAAATGGGGAGTCAGGGTCATCCTGGGTGACTCAGAGACACTTTCAGTTAAGTACTGGCCCCTTGATGTGAAAATAGGAACAGGGAGTCAGCAGATGCTGCTCTGATGTGATAAGAGCAGGCCATTATTTCACAAAGTGTAGGATCAGTCACATGACCAGGAAGAAGTCACACTTCTCTTGTAAACTAAAATATGATGTCTCCAGGGAAACTCGATTCTTTGGTTGAAAGGTGAGTTTGTCCTTAAGTCATCAGGAGAAAACACTGGTTATGGCTGTGGTTGGTGGGGAGAGCCTGACGTGGAATTGAAGCCTGGTCCACCCCGGCCCACAGGTCCCAGTCATTCTGGGACAGAGCAGGGGAAGTCCCATGATATCAGGCTGAAGATGGAGCGGGCAGAGTGCAGGGCAAGAGGCGAGATTCCAGTACTGTTTAGAAAGGTGAAAAGTCTCCAGGGAAGGGTGGGGGTACCCAGGTGGGGGCCAGGGGGCTGCAGGTGGAAGAGGCAGTGGGGCTGTGAGCTGGAGAGTGGGAAGGAAGAGGGGTCCCTAGTGAGACCTAGTTCCTGTTTCTCCACCCTGTGACGTGAGGATGAGATGCCAGAGCAGTGGTCCTCACACATCAGCACACATCAGAATCACTGGGAGGGTTTGCAAAAACATGGACCGCTGGGCCCCACCCCAGAGCTTCTAATTCCGTAGGTCCGGGATTGGAACTGATAACTGGCATTTCTAAGAGGCTCCTGGTATCACTGATCCTGCCAGTTAGAGGACCACACTTTGAGAGCCACTGGTCTAGATGTGGCCGGCTTCTATTGTACAATTTTTTGGTGCTTACTCGAATTCCTCACCAGGGAGCTGCCTACACCTCCCTCAGGTTCAGTGTGTGTTTGGTCTGAGAAGATGAAGAGTGCTGGCGGGGGACGGGGTGGAGCGGACTCCCCCAGATAATGGGGCTGGGCACTGATTTTTCCTTCCCCGGGGATAAGAGACTAGAGGCCACTCTCCAGCCTGAGGCCATCCGGCCAATTCCTCTGATTTACCCACTCCCCCAAGTGACAAAGGACACCCCTTTCTAGGATGGAAAGAAGGGCCCCTGCTATGATAGTTACTCAAGAGTGCCTTGTGTTGGGGCGTTGAGGTTTGCAGAAGTGGAAGTGGATTGGAAAGGAGAGCAGCCCCATGACAGAACCTTCTTGTTCCTTGCATTGACATCAAAGCTCAAGCTCACGTCCCACCTCACCTTCCTCTGCTGTGTGATCCTGGGGGAACTTAACTTAGTGAGCCCTGATTTTCTCATCTGTAAAATGGGAACAATGAAAATGTCTGTCCTACTGCTCACTGGGATTGTTTTGGGAGGATGAGGCAGTGGATGTGAAATTGATATGTGAGCTATAAATTGTGTACCTGTGTGAATTCTAACACTGTTTTAAGTTTGCAAGGGAATCAAAGGAGAAAGGAGAAATGGAACAGTCATGAAGAGAGCAACTACTTTCCATTGGGACCCAGGCATTCATTTCCTCTTTTTTTCTCCTTATGTTCAGAAAACTCAGATTAAAAATAACATGAGACATGCACACGTATGTTTATAGCGGCACTATTCACAATAGCAAAGACTTGGAACCAACCTAAATGTCCAACAACGATAGACTGGATTAAGCAAATATGGCACATATACACCATGGAATACTATGCAGCCATAAAAAATGATGAGTTCATGTCCTTTGTAGGGACATGGATGAAACTGGAAACCATCATTCTCAGCAAACTGTCGCAAGGACAAAAAACCAAACACCGCATGTTCTCACTCATAGGTGGGAATTGAACAATGAGAACACATGGACACAGGAAGGGGAACATCACACACCGGGGCCTGTTGTGGGGTGGGGGAAGGGGGGAGGGATAGCATTAGGAGATATACCTAATGCTAAATGACGAGTTAATGGGTGCAGCACACCAACATGGCACATGTATACACATGTAACAAACCTGCATGTTGTGCACGTGTACCCTAAAACTTAAAGTATAATAATAATAAAATTAAAAAAAAATTACATGAGACAAAAGTCCACACTTCAGCTGTCATATCAACTTTAGCCAGGACACCCACTAACATGAAAGATGGGGGTTAGTTGATTATTTGGGTTTGGGAAATGGTCAATCGTATTTTGGAAATGTTGACATTTGCTGGCTTGGGACCATCACAATGTTGCCCACGTTCCTTCTTCTGAGGCCGAAAGTTAATCAGGAGGATCTAGTGAATGTTGATGTCCCACAGAGTTGGTCCTTGTCAGTATCGCCCCAATATAAAGACAATTAATAAGCATAATCCAACTATGTCTTATTGCACACATGCTGTAGAATGCAAGCTTTATGGGCATGATTTCAACTTGCAAGGTAGGTACTATTGTTTCCACTATAGAGATGAGAAAATTGAGGCCCATAGATGTTAAATTACTTGACTAGGGTCACAATTTCTTAAGTGGCAAGGTTCTTGCCCTTTGACTGTACCCCTTTGCTTCTAATAAGGGACATGAAAACACTTTGTGAGCTGTGCAGGGTTGAACAACTGTAAGAGATTTGTTATTAGTGCTCAGAGCAATTTTCTTGAGTTTTAAATTTCCCTAGTTGCAGAAATACCCAGCTACTTATGCATATGGACACTAGCAGCGTCGCCTATGTGGCCTCTGCAGCATCCTGTAGTCTTGATAACAGATTCTCAGCTCTAGGAGACCACAGCTCCTCAGGGTCAAAGGAAAGGGCATTTTATAAGCCTTCTCAAGTTTTGTTTTGCATTGGTGTATTGCCTGGGAATAGCTTGTCTCCTCCTCCCCGCCCCCAACTCAAAGCCACTTTGTTGCACCAGCATAATTTCTTACAATAACATTAACATATCATGGGAGCTCATTACCTTTGGTGTAATAGTTCCCTATTGAACTGTGTCAGACTAATTATGTCAGTTCCTTTTCATTCCAGTTTAGTGCTTCTCCAGAGAGTCGCAGTGCAGCACCGGTAATAATGATTAAACTGCTGTCTAATGCTCCACTGGATGGCCAAACCAAACAGGGGAAAATTCCTTGCTGAAGATGGGACTCTCAGCATCCCTTGTACTTGATGCAATTTGGTGTTTTAAAAGCCATTACCTGGAGGTCATTTCCACATGACAATGGAGGGCTGGTAGTGTTTCTTGGGGATGGCAGACAAAAAAGCATATCAGGGAAGGAAATAGCTTTGCAAGGCAAGAAGTAGCAGAGAGGCAACCCAGGTGCTTTCCATTTGTGTGGTGAGCCCTCAAGTTCTGATGGGGACCATCTGGAGCCGTGCTTTACAACTTAGCTGGCAGAGGAGGGTGTGCAGGAAATGGCCAGGGTAATGAATCAGGACAAGCCAATGTCAAATGCTTAAAGCTCTGCTGCCAGTTCAGAGGAAAAAGCCCAGGGAAGATGAATGAAAATGAAGTCATTTTCACCTTCCTGTAGTCTCATATAGAGCTCTTTGCTCGAGCCTAAATCGAACATGCTTTTTGTCTTTTTGCATAAAGGGAAGGAAGGAAATTTCATGCTTCAACAAGAGCTTCAACAGAAGTTGATGCTCTTCATTGCCTAAAGGGATGCTAGCCTGTTCTGAGCACCTGTTCTTGACGAGTATTAATGAGCCTAATAATAACAACAACTGTTACTATTAGGCATCAGTTACGTGATGACTTTGTGCCAGGCATTGTGTTAAGGGTTTCACAACTGCTAGTTAATATAATCCGTAAAATAACTCTACGGGTAAAAGCTGTCTTATCATTCCCATTTTGTAGATGAGAAACTGGGGCATAGGGAGATTAAGTAACTTGCTCGAGGTCACTCCCAGAACACCCATATCTAACTCTGAAGCCTGTATGCAGAGTTATATTTCCTCTTCGTTCATTCAGTCAGTCAATATGATGAGGGCCTTTCTGTTCTTTAGCCATGAGCTGTGTCCCTCAGACATTTTCTGAACATTACAGACACAGTCTCTGGCTTCCTGGGGCTGAGAGCTCAACAGTAAATTTCAGTACTGGGTGAGCCATTGTATGAGTGGGCAAAGGCAGACAGCTGTGAGAACACCTTCGTTCATTCACTCACAGGTATTTATTTGAGTGTCTACTATGTGAAAGGCTTTGCTGGGTTCTAGGACACTGGGGTCAGCAAAATACCCACAGACTTTGCTTTAATGGAGTTTTTAGTTCATATTATAGAAGCCCATACAGACTGAGACAGGAAATTGGTACGGAGAAGTGGGGGTGCTGCTGTATCAAATACCTAAAACTGTGGAAGCAGCTTTGGAATAGGGTAATGTGGAAAGGCTAGAAGAGTTTTAAGGTGCATGCTAGAGAAAGCCTACATTGCTGTGAAGAGACTATTAAGAGTGATTCTGGTAAGAGCTTAGAAAGAAAAGAGGGGAGCTGTAGGGAAAGTCTCAGTCTTCTTAGAGAATACCTAAGTAATCAAGAATGCTGGTAGAAATATGGATGGTGTCTAAGCCCATTCTGTGCTGCTACAATAAAATGCCAGAGTAACTTATGAAGAAAAGAGAATTTCTCACAGTTCTGGAAGCTGGGAAGTTCAATATCAAGGTGCTGACATCTGGCAAGGGCCTTCTTGCCGTGTCGTCCCATGGTGAAAGATGACAGAGAGAGAGAGAGAGAGAGAGAAGAAAGGGCCAAATTAATCCTTTTATGAGGAACTCACTTCCAGGATAATAAAAGTCCTCTAATCCATTCATGAGGGCAGTGGTCCCATAGCCCAAACACCTCCCATTAGCCTCCACTTCCCAGCACTACTGCATTGAAGATCAAATTTTCAACACACGAACTTTGGGGAACACTTTCAAACCATAGCAGATGGTAAAGGCCATTCTGATGAGGCATCAGATGGAAATGAGGAAGATGTTATTGAACAATGGAGGAAAGGTCATCCTTTTTACAAAGTGGCAAGGAAGTTAGTTGAATTGTGTTTGTGTCTTAGTAGTTTGTAGAAGGTAGAACTTGTGAGTAATGAAATTGGATATTTGGCTGAGGAAATATCTAAGTAAAGTGTTGAAAGAGCAGCTTGGCTTCTCTTGACTTCTTATAGTAAAATGAAAAAAGAGAGAAATGACTTAAAGATGGAATTCTTAATCAGAAAGAAAGCCAAACTTAAAGATTTGGAAACTTCTCAGCCTTTCCATATTGTAAAGAATGAAAAGGTCTGTTCCTAAAGAACTTTAAGGGTGTGGCCCAATGGCCACATCTTACATGGAGTTTTGTCAGCCATCTGAACAGAAGCCAGGGGCTATTGTTCAAGACGATGGAAGAATGAACCCCTTCCATAGCAAGGTGCTCCAGAGATCATCAGAACAACTTCATAGGACGGGCTGCAGGTGCCTGCTGGACCCCTGCAGGCTTTGTGTAGCATCCCTCATATCACAGGCTCCACTCCACTGCATTCCAGGGTTTTGCTGCTTGGCTGCCCATCCAGAAAGCACAGGCAGCAGACTTTGGCTGTGTCTGCGTGGTGCTCAGAGTGCATGAGCTGTGGGGGCAAGCCTACCTTCACCTAGATTTCTAAGAATGGAGCCACCTGAAGTCATGGGTGTGCCACCCAGGCAGAAAACTATAGAGGGCCGCTGGTAGGGCAATGCCTAGTAGTACCAAGGTGGAAAGGTCACCCTGAGACCCCAGAACAGTAGAGGCATCAGTGTGTGATTCCAGCACTGGAAAGCCACAGGCACGCAACTCCAACCTGTGAGAGCTGTGGCAGGGGTTGTATCCAGCAAAGCTGTGAGGGCAGCTTTAGAAGTTGGGTGCCCAACTTCTACCCTGCAAGCCTTTAGGGATGAGACTTCCACACCAGTGGGCCCGGAGGGCAGAGCATTGAGCCAAAGAAGATTTTTCTCAAGCCTAAGGTTTTGGACTTGCTTGGGACCTGTCACTCTTTCCTTCTTCACTATTTCTCCCTTTTGGAATGGGAATGTCTGTCCTGTGCCCAAACCACCATTGTATTTTGTAAGCATTTAACTTTGATTTCACAGACTCAGAGAAGGAGGGGAATTTGCCTCAGGATGAATTGGACCTTGAGTTTCACCCATATCTAATTTAGATGATATTCGAATGAGACTTTGGACTTTAGGTTTTGAATTGATGTTGGTATGAGTTAAAACTTTTAGGGTTATTGGGATGGAATGAAGATATTTTGCATGTAAGAAGGACATGAATTTCGGGGGTCCAGAGGCATAATCAAATGGTTTGAATGTTTTTATCCCCTCAAAATTAATATGTTGAAATTATAACCCCCGAAGGTGATGGTATTAGGAAGTGGTGACTTTGGGAGGTGATTAGGACAGAACCCTCATGAATGGGATTGGTGCTCTTGTAAAGGAAACCCAAGAAAGCTTGTTAACCCCTTCCACCATGTGAAGACATAGAGAAAAGATGGCCCTCTATGAACCAAGAAATGGGCCCTCACCAGACACCGAATTTGCTGACACCTTGATCTTGAACTTTCTAGCCTCCAAACTGTGAGAAATAAATATCTGTTTTTATAAGCCACCCAGTCCATGGTAGTTTGTTACAGCAGTTCAAATGGACTAAGACAGCCAAGATGGGAAAATGTAATCTTCATTTAACATTTATTAAGCATTCATTATGTGCCAAGATCTATGATAAGTGCTGTTAATCAAGTCAGTTTATTTAGCCCTCACCATAGCTCTCTATTATTTATATAGATGAGAAAATGAAGCCTTGGAGAGTTACGCAGTCAGCCCAAGGTTACTTCTCCTAGCCACTATGTTCAACTGTAGGGAGACTTGATCTATTTTTGGTGATCAGTATAATGGGGCATATTCCATTTTTCTCTTGAGGGGTTCTTATTCCAAGAAGAACAGGCCATCGAGACTCTCAAGCCTGGCTTTGCACCCCTCTCATGGAGCCTATCAGCTTGGTGCCAGTTGGGGGCCTTACATCCCTATGGGCTCTGCTGCCATATTGGTTGAGGATGGAGCAAAGAGGAAGAAGCCTTGGCTTAGCCATGATGAAAAGACAGCAGAGAAACATGTAATGCCTGGTCTGTTCCTTTGGTTCAAGGAAGGGTATACATCTACAAAGACTCTCTATGGTGTTAATTGCACATCTATTATGGGCTGACTTGTGTCCCCACCAAATCCATATATTGAAAACCTAACTCTAATGTGATATTTGGTGGTGGGAGTCTTAGGGAGGTAATTAGGTTTAGATGAGGTAATCAAGGTGGAGCCCCCATAATGGGATTAGTGCCCTTTTAGAAAGAGAAAGCAGCATCAGAACTATCTCTTTCTCTGCCATTTGAGGACACAGTGAAAAGATGGCCATCTGCAAGCTAGGAAGTGGGTCCTTCTCAGACAGTGTAGCTGCCAGCACCTTGAACTTGGACTTCCCAGTCTTCAGAACTGTGGAACTAAATGTCTGTAGTTTAAGCCATGGTATTTCATTATGGCAGCCCAAATTGAATAAGATAACATTTTAAATGTGACGATATATGGGAATGTGTCTTGTAAATGGTAAAGTACTGGGCAAATGGTAATCATCAGTGACTTCATGAGTCATACATGCTCTGATGCACTGTGCCTCTACATCAAAATTACCTGGTAAAGGTAGATAATGTGAGAAAGTGCAGATTTCCTGGGGCCCACTAGCCTTATATAGTGATAATATGACTCTACCCACAGCAGCACAGCAGTTTTTCCTAAGATGAGTTCCTAGCAACACTATATTCATTGAATATTTATAGAGATTACTTGAGAATAGGGATTTTGTAAACCAATAAATTTAGGGAACACTGGGTAAATTAGGATTTTTTTTTCTTACTGAGGGCTTCTCAGGGCCTTTAAAATGCTTTGTAATCTACCAGAGAGGAAATAATACTATTTCCCAAAATGCACTTAACCTTGGAATATCTTTACCCCAAAGCATCTTGTGGGAATCAGTTTTTTTTTTTTTTTTTGTGGAATGTAAATTATTTGGTGAATGCAAAAGGGAATGTTAAACCAGGACTTACAATGTCAAATGCCCTCAGGAGCCAGGCAGGTAGTGCTGCTGATGAAAGCAAACGGAGTCAGCAACAGGGAGGCTTGAGGACTGGGGGAAATTTTGGTCTATGTCTTCCTGTTTGAATTGGGCTTCTGAATGCAAATTAAAAAATTTGACTCATGGCTGCTGAGACCTCTGGAAATGGCACTTTCCCAGAAGCAAAAGAGAGGAACCCTGGGATAAGCCTGGACAAGGGACACACGAGGAAGGACCTGGGAGGTGCTCACCTGCAGGTGGGGTGTGGTTGCTCAGCAGGTGAGCCTCCCCAGGAAGGTGTGCCCAAGTGGTAGTGAGGGTATGAGGAGAGGGCTGGAGACGGTGTTGTGGGCATAAACTCTTGGGGCTGTGTTTCTCCAACTTTAATGAGCGCATAGATCATCTGGGGATCTTGTCAAACTACAGATTCCAACCTAGCAGGCATGGAGTGAAGCCAAGATGATGCATTTCTACCCAGTTCCCTGGTGATGCAAAGCAGCACTGAAGATAGGACCCAGGGTCTTAGGACTTAGGCTACCTGGAGCGAGGGAGGCTCCATCCAGGCCATATTTCCTTGTAATTAGAGTTTGTTCTGATTGTAAGGAAGAGCTTGTTGTTCTCATAGGAAGGGGGTGAAATATGAATTCAGAACTGGGGCGTGGGAGATAGAGGACGGGGAACACAACTCTACTTAATTTAACGAAGATAAACTAAGTTTCTGCTCTGGAACTGTTTGCATTATAAAACCGACAGTGGGAGGGATAAGATCTCGGGTTCTGGAACCAGACTCCCTGGTTTGATTATGGGCTCTGCTGAGTGACCTTGAACAAGATATCGGACCTCTCTGAGCTTGAGAAAATAGGGCAAGAATAGAACCCCACACATTGTTAGTTATGGGGATTACATGAGTTACTCTCTGTAAAGCATTTAGAATAGAGCCTTACAAACCTTCGCTGTTCTCTAAATCTCATTCTGAATGAGACAGTGTGAGAGCACTTACGCTGTAGCTATCAGGCTGTGGAAATACAAGCAGAATAGTTAAGAACAACGGCTTTGATTTCAGACAGACCTGAGTTGAATCCAAGCTCTGTTACCTATTAGCTCTGTTACCTTGGGCAAGTCACTGAACCTCTCAGAGCCTCGGTTTCCTCATCTATAAAATGGGGGTAATCATATTAGAAATGGGGCTTAACTAAGACAGTCCATGGGAAAGCACTTTGCCAACTGTAAAGTACTGAACACATGCAAAGTGTTCGTGTGCAGTGGTTTTTCCCAAAGCAGCCCATTGAGTAGGCAGAGCTGCTTTTGGGAATGATGGCGGGGTTGTGACATGAGACTGTGTGATGGTTGGGAGTGATGGCGGGGTTGTGACATGAGACTGTGTGATGGTTGGGAGTGATGGAGGGGTTCTGACATGAGACTCTGTGATGGTTGGGAGTGATGGAGGGGTTCTGACATGAGACTGTGTGATGGTTAGGAGTGATGGAGGGGTTCTGACATGAGACTGTGTGATGGTTGGGAGTGATGGAGGGGTTCTGACATGAGACTGTGTGATGGTTGGGAGTGATGGAGGGGTTCTGACATGAGGTTGTGTGATGGCTGTGTAACTCTGTAAATAAACCAATGATCACTGAATTGAACCCTTAGAAAGGTGAATTTTAGGCCGGGCTCAGTGGCTCATGCCTGTAATCCCAGCACTTTGGGAGGCTGAGGCGGGCAGATCACCTGAGGTCAGGAGTTCGAGACCAGCCCGACCAACTTGGAGAAACCCTGTCTGTATTAAAAATATGAAAAAATTAGCCAGGTGTGGTGGTGCATGCCTGTAATCCCAGCTACTCGGGAGGCTGAGGCAGGAGAATTGCTTGAACCCAGGAGGTGGTGGTTGCAGTGAGCCTAGATCACGCCATTGCACTCCAGCCTGGGCAACAAGAGTGAAACTCCATCGCAAAAAAAAAAAAAAAAAAAGAAAGGTGAATTTTATGGTGGTTAAATTATATCTCCATAAACCTTTTAAAACAAAATAGAAAAACACTTTGTTACCTCTGGTCAAGAAGAGCTGAAGGGTCTTTCCTGTTCTTACCTATTGAGGCTGCCCAGGAACCAGCCCCTCTCCCTCCTGTCCCTCTGGCCAGCACTCTTTCCACAAAGAGAAGCCCCCGACCCTGAGCCGACCTGTTTTCTTTTTCTAACCTGATTTGAGCTAGCATTTTGCAAAGCTTCATTCTCTGGAGGCAAAAGTCCAACTTCTTATTCACCGTCAAAGGTGTAGAATCTGGGTCAGCAGAAAATGCTTTGTTTTTTTTCCTGAGGAGTGGGGTCAACGAACAGGTGTCAATACGACAAATTAGAAAGGAGGTCAGGGAGGGGCAGAGACACACCATCTGCCTCCTGGCTTGGGACTGAGAAGGTGCTCCCATTCACAAACCTGCTCTAGCAAACCACTCTGTCCAGGGCGAGCAGGTCAGGCAGGTGAGAACTGATTGAGAACAGGCGAAAGGGCTGTGCTCCTGGAAGTGGGAGATTTGCATTCTGGGGCCGTGGAGGGCAGGGGGTGGGCGGCTGCAGGAAACCAAGCAAAGATCAGGGCTGGGCTGCCTGAGGACTGGGGCTAGACAGAGCAGAAGTCTGGGTGGAGCTGTCAGAAGGCAGAAGTGGGGAGAGCCATGGATTTTACCTGGGTGGACTGAGGAGTCTCTCAGAGCAAGACATTTTCCCCCCAAGAAGGTATTACTCTCTTCCCACCCCCCACTCCCTGAAACACTTTTAATTCCAGTATAACTTGCAGAAAGTTCTGCACAAATCCTTAGTGTATAGCGCCATGCATTTTCACAGAGTTTATGCAAGTTTAACCAGGTTCTAGATCAAGAGATGGTGCACCAGCCGGGCGCGGTGGCTCATGTCTGTAATCCCAGCACTTTGGGAGGCCGAGGCAGGCAGATCATCTGAGATCAGGAGTTCGAGACCAGCCTGGGCAACATGGTGAAACCCCATCTCTACCAAAAATACAAAAATTAGCCAGGCATGGTGACACGTGCCTGTAATCCCAGCTACTTGGGAGACTGAGGTAGGAGAATCGCTTGAACCCCGGAGGTGGAATTTGCAGTGAGCCAAGATTGTGCCATTGCACTCCAGCCTGGGCAACAGAGCAAGACTCCAGCTCGGAAAAAAAAAAAAAAAAAGAGATGGGGCATTTCCAGCACCACAGAAAGCCTCTTGTACCCCTATCCACTCCCCACCCCACAAGGGTAAACACTGTCTTGATTTCAACACCATGCACTCCTTAGTTTTGCCTGTTTATATAGATGGAATCAGAAGCATTTGCTCTTCTCTGTGCAGCCTTTTTTTTTTTTTTTTTTTCTTTTTACAGAGTTTCTCTCTTGTTGCTCAGGCTGGAGTGCAATGGCGCTCTGCAATCTTGACTCACTGCAACTTCCACCTCCTGGGTTCAAGCGATTCTCCTGCCTCAGCCTCCCGAGTAGCTGGGATTACAGGCATGCACCACCACACCCGGCTAATTTTGTATTTTTAGTAGAGAAGGGGTTTCTCCATGTTGGCCGGGCTAGTCTTGAACTCCCAACCTCAGGTGATCCACCCTCCTTGGCCTATCAAAGCACTGGGGTTACAGGTGTGAGCCACCACGCCCGGCCAGTGTGCAGCTTCTTTTGCTCAACCTTCTACCTGTGAGGTTCACCCAGGTTGCTGTGGTTTCTTCATTCTCACGGCAGGGTGGAGTATTCCATTGTGTGATGACACCACACATTATTTATCCATTTAACAGTTTCTAAGTGTCTGGGTGTCTTCCAGTTTGGGGCTATCATGGATAGGGCTGCAATGAACATTCATTCGGGTGGCTGTCTTTGGGTGAACACATGGATGCATTTCTGGTGGGGGTGGAGTTGCCCGGTCATAAGGTATGTGCATGTTCACCTTGAGTAGATACTGCATAGCAGCGCAGTCCACCCAAAGCGGGTAGACAAATTTGCAATGCCATTGGCAGTGTGATGGGAGACACAGAAAGAGAGAGTTATGCTCTAGTCCTCCCTCTAAGAGCGAATAGGCACTGAATACTTTATGAGATGAATTGCGTCTCCCCCAAATACTCATACATTGAAGCCCTCACTGCCAGTACCTCAGAAGGTGACTGCATTTGGAGATAGGGCTTTCTAAGAGTTAAGTAAGTTAAAATGAGGCCTTGAGGGTGGTCCCTAATCCAATCCAACTGGTGTCCTTATAAGAAGAGGAGATTCCTGTTATCCTGGCACTTTGAGAGGCTGAGGTGAGTAGATCACCTGAGGTCAGGAGTTCGAGACCAGCCTGGCCAACACGGCAAAACCATGTATCTACTAAAAATACAAAAATTAGCTGGGTGTGGTGGTGCAAGCCTGTAATCCCAGCTACTCGGGAGGCTGAGGTAGGAGAATCACTTGAACCTGGGAGGTGGAGGTTGCCATGAGCCGAGATTGCACGACTGCCCTCCAGTCTCGGCAACAGAGCGAGACTCTATCTCAAAAAAAAAAAAAAAAAAAAGAAGAGGAGAGACAGCAGGCGTGAGCTCACATAGGGGAAAGACCTGTGAGGACATGGTGAAGAGGAGGCTGGAGGGCAGTCATCTGTAAGCCAAGGGGAGAGACATTCAGAAGAAACAACCCTGCTGACACCTCCACCTTGGACTTCCAGCCTCCAGAACTGTGAAAAATAAACTTCTGTTGCTTCAGCCACCCTGCCTGTGGTATTTTGTCAAGGCAGCCCTAGCAGACTAATACAAGGACTTTCTTTGTGCTGGGCTCTGTGCTTAGCTCATGCTTTATCTCACTGAATCCCCATATCAACCCTGTAGGGTAGGAACAATGGTGACCTCAGTGTTACAGGTGGAGGACTGAGCTTGGAGGTAAATGACTTGCCCAGGGTCAGAACACAGGCAGCAGCCTGAGCCAGGACTGGAACTCAGGGCTGCCTGTCCAGAGCCCTTGAACTGAACCGTCATGCCCACCTCACTCATCTGCTAGGTCGTTCATGGCCCACTCCCAGCCCCTGGTTATTTGAATAATGGCCGTATTAGGTTTTGCAGTTTAGTGTAAAGAAGGGAGAGTGTGCTTGGGAGGCAGAAGATCTGGGCTTGAATCCTGGGTTTTTGACCTCCTGCTGAGTAAATTTGGGCCCCACTGCTTAGATTTTATATGTCTCTATCTCCTCACCTACAAGGCCTTCGTCACAGGCTGATTCCGGATATCCAATGTGTTGATGTATGGGAGGTGCATTGTAAACTGTAAAGTGCTGGGCAGATGGTAATTGTTTCAGAGATTTCATGAGTCATGCTATGCATTTAGCATGGGCTGAATTGTGTCCTCCTGCCCCCAGTTCGTTTGTCAGCAATCTAACCCCTAATGTGATGGTATTTGGAGATGGGACCTTTGGGAGATAATTAGGGTTAGATGAGGTCATGTGAGTGGAGATCTGCTGTGACAGGATTAATGTTCTTATAACAAGAGACACCAGACAGCTGGCTCTCTTGCCTTGGGGGGATACAACAAGAGGACGGAATGTCTGCAAACCAGGAAGAGAGCCCTCACTGGGATGCAATTGGCTGGCACCTTAATCTTGGATTTTCCAGCCTCTAGAATTGTGCAAAATAAATGTCTGTTGTTGAAGCCACCTAGCCTTTGGTATTTTGCTATGGCAGCTTGAGCTGACGAAGACAGCGTGCTGCCCCTCTTTCTCTTTGCAAAGCTTCATAGACATACATGGCCTATACACTGAAAAAACTCACATTCCTGAGGGGCTAACTGTTCGGTAGGTGTCAGTTCTGGGGCTGGGCTGGGTGACGGGTTCCTCCAGTGGAAAACATGCAGTAGCCATGTGTCTGCTCTGGGGCTGGTGTTTGGTGAAGGAAGCCGATGTTTCTTTTTCTTGTTTGTCTCATGCCAGGACTGTGAACTGCTCTTGTTGTGGAGACTCCAGGGTAGAAAGGAGAGGATGGGGTAGGGACCCAGGTACAGGAAAGGGACAGCAGAAGTGCTTTTCATTTGGTGCAGATGCTCAGAGAGGAAGGTTTTGCTGTTATCCCCATTTTACAGCTGGGGGGACTCAAGCTCAGAGACTTACTCAACAATGCTTTACTAATATGTCATAGGAACCAGGACTGAAGCTGAAGGCCTCTGGATTTGGGGTCAGTTGATTACTTGGTATTAGTCTGGGTAGGCTAGATTATGCTGCAGTAACAAGCAACAACAACACCCAGATCTTTTGTTGTCTTACAGCGACACAACTTTTTCTCACTCATGCCACATCCATCCTAGTGGCTGGTGCTGCTGCCCCTTATCTCGTCACTCCGAGTCCAGGCCAGCAGAGTGGCCACCAACTCCAATATGGATGGATCTCCCAAGGGTCTCACACTGGCAATTCAATGCCCCAACCCAGAAGTGACGTTCATCATTTCCACTCAAATTCACTGACCGGAGTTAGTTATTGGCCAGAGTTAGTCTAGTTATTCTAGCTCCCCAGCTGAATGCACAGGGGGCTAGAATATTCACCCTGGTGTGCCCAGCAGGCAGAGGGGGCAAGTATTATGGGGGCAGCATTAATGCCCATGTCAGAATGCATGCGTGCATGCATGAATGAATGCACTTAGAATCTCCATCTGAGTTTAGTGGTTATTGACGGACCCAGGAAAAGACAGCATAGACTTGCAACTGCTCCACTTTAAGGGCATTGGAACTCCTTGGGTCCTAATAATAGGTTTAAGCATCTTGAAAATGTATGCGTGTTTTTTCCTCTCCATCGTTTCCAGCTCCCCTGCCTACATGTCCTCTCTTTCACCAAATCTGTTTGCCATTTACTGTGGATGACAGAGCCACCCCACCCACACAGGCCCCATTCTGAGGTTGATTGATAACCCTTGGACACACACAGATGGACACACAGAGAAATTTCTACTCCTTCCACGCGCCTTGGGCAGCCGTGGAGACAGTAATTTTTCAAGTAAGTGTTAGCTCAGAGTCTTTCGCGGGCTCCAGAGCATAACTAAACCCAGACAGACTCTGGGAGATGAAAAATAAACCGTTGTTTTTATGATGCCATGAAAAAGCTTTCTTTTTCCTCCTAGAAAAGAAACTTATTTATTTTCATGTGTGTATGGGTTTGCAGTAAGTGTGGAAGGATTAAGCCTTTGAAACTGTCGATTTATATCCATGAGTGATGTGAAGTCTTTGTCCTGGAGAGCAGCAAGCTTTCCAAATTGGAAAATCGAGAGTCGGGCCCCTTTGCTCATTCACTCAGCGGCTCATTCACTAAATATTTACTGAGCATCTCTTGCCTTCCAGGCCTGGCTTCAGGAGCTGGGGACGCAGAGCCCATGTCAGAGGGCACCATCCCTGCCCTTAGGGAGTTTGCAATCTACAGGGGAAATAAATGCCAGAGGCCTGTACAAAGGGTGTGGGGTACTGAGCAGGACCGGGGAGCTTTGTCAAGTAGCATGGAGGAACTTAACCTGGAAGGACAAGGAGGAACCAGCCAGCCAAGGAGGACAAAGAGGGAAGATTCTGACGGAAGGAATGGCATCGTCAGATGAGGGGAGGTGGGCGAGGCTGCAGTGTAGTTGGGCTTCACCAGGTAGGTCATGTAGTAGAGGAGATAAGCCTCTGGGCTCCGGGTTCAAATCCCAGCCTTGCCCCTTCCTTGCTATGCGACCATCTATAAAATGGGGAGAGAAGCTGTAACTCCCTCACTGGGTATTGTGAAGAGTCGATGGGTTGAAATGCATAAGGAGGCCAGAGCAGTGCCTGGAGTGCCAAAAATTGCTTAGTAGCTGTGACCTGTTCTCATTTTGCTGAGGCTTGAGTAGAAAAGAAGAGGAAGAAGGAAAAGGTGGGCAAGGACCTGAATGTCAGGGTGAGGGGCTGAGGCTCTGACTCGTACTTGCAGTGTCCAGGGATGCAAAGGATGTGTGGATTTTGGGGGCCTGTTCTGCCCTAGGGAGGAAGCCCAACTGGGTGGTCCTGAGAGAGACTCTACATTAAGGGTAGAGTTACGCACTGGAAGCCTGGGGGCTCAGCGGGGGAGGTCCCACAGGGTCAGTCAGAGGAGGGGCTGAGGGGGAGGTCCCATGGGGTCAGTCAGAGGAGGTGTGGCCCAAGTCATGGGGTCTGCAGAAGAGAGACCCTTAGACAAGAGGATGGGTGGTTCTGAAGGACCCACACCAGAACCCCCCTGCTGGGTGCCCAGTGGAGGGTGAAGAGTGCAGAGGAGAAGTGGGCACTGGGCCTCTGCATGGCATGAGTGAGGGGCCCCTCTGGCTCTAGAGTAAGACTAGCTTGAACCCAAAGCCCAGGCTGAGCCCGATAAGCTGAGCCCCCATAATGGGGGTGATGACACCCATCGTTCAGGGGTGTTTTGTGAGTTAAATGTCTCTCTTTGTCCTTATGGATCTTAGAACATGGGGGTGCAGTGCAGGTAAAGAGGATTAAATACGGATTGACACGTGGTCTGTGGGAACACAGAGAGGGGGTGGCTGACTGGCAGTCAATCAGGAAGACTTCCTGGAAGAACGGGCCTTCTGAGAGGCTGAGATTCACAGGATGACTAGAAGTTGGTATCCAGGTGAAGAGAAGCAGGGAGAGGGCTCCAGGTGAGGAGATGACATGGGTAAGGCCTGGAGGTGAGTGAGGTGAGTGAGGTGTCACAGGATTGAGACACTGCAGGGTGTTCAGTGTTGCCAGAGCAAGGAGTGCAGAGATGAGTGTTCTGAGACAGGGAAGAGTGAGTGGGTCCAGCAGAGAGACTCAAGTGGCCTTCAGAGAAGGCTAATTGGGAAAGGTGAGTCCTCCTGGAGTCAGAAGACCTGGCTTCAAGGCTGCACTGGGTCACTTCTTGGCTGTGTGCCCCAGACACTTCGCTTTACCTCTCTGCATCTGTTTCCATCCCTATAAATTAGGTTTCATGTGAGGACAGAGACGGAATGTACTCATTCATTCAAGCAGATATTTACTGAGTGGCTGCTATAGGCCAGGTGCTATTCTAAGCACTGGGGATTATTCAGAATATGGGGAAGATCAAGTCTCTGCCCTCATGGGGCTTACACTTTAGCAGGGAACACCTCATAAGTGCAATGAAGAAAAATCAAGCAGGGTAGGGGCCAGAGGGTGGCAGGGTACAGTGGGGTTGGGGGTTGGATGGGATGGTCAGGGAAGGCTTCTCAGAGGAGGGCACCTTTGAACAAATGACAAGGGGGAGTGAGCTGTGTGGGATTCATGGGAAATAAACATTACAGCAGATCCCTCGGTAGATGTACTAAGTACAGGAAGTGCTCTGAAACCTTTGCCTGGATTAATTCATTCCACCCTTGAACACCATGAGAGCCAAGCACCATTATCATTACACCCCATTACAGGTGGCAAAACGGAGGCACGGAGTTAGGTGGCTTGGCCAGGTCTCAGGATTTGAACCTCATGGCATGGCCTGCACAGCCACAATCCTAACCACTCTCACCATGTCCCAGACAGGCAGGGCCGGATAAGCTCAGTCCCAAGCCGGGCTTACCGTGGGGGATGGTGTGTGCAGATTGCAGAGTGCAAGGCAAATGTGAAATGTTGTCACCGACATTTTCTTTGGAATGTGAAGGAAACATCTCAAACCAGTGGCATGCTATCCACTTCTGCCAATATTCCCTTCTCCTTCTCCCTCTCCCTCTCCCTCTCCTCCTCCTTGTTTTTTGAGACAAGGTCTTGCTCTGTTACCCAGGTTGGAGTGCAGTGGTGTAGTCACTGCAGCCTCTACCTCCTGGGCGCAAGAGATCTTCCTACCTCAGCCTCCAGAGTAGCTGGGATCACAGGCATGTGCCACCACGCCTGGCTAATGTTTGGATTTTTTGTAGAGATGCAGTCTCACTATGTTGCCCAGGTTGGTCTTGAACTCCTGGGCTTAAGCAATCCTCCCACCTCAGCCCCCCAAAGTGTTGGGATTACAGGCATGAGCCACCACACCGGGCCCTCTTTTGCTGATATCCTTAAAAATAAAGGCCTGTGGGCCTCAGTTTCCTGTGTGGTTCTTGGCAGAGTATATGAAAACACAACTTGCTTAGGGCGGGAAAAATTCTGAAAAACAAAAGAAATACCTGCGTTTGCTCTTTGCAATATATCCACATACGGAAAATACGAAAAATAGAGAAAAGAAGAGAAATTTCTCACATACGTACCACTTAAATATAAGCACTTAGTATTTTGGAATGTTTTCTGTTTACTCTTTTTCAAAAGGAGAGGGTGTTTCAGTTGTGTGAAGCAGAAAATAAAGAACTTAGAGGTTTTGGAATATATAGACAATTATATAGTGTTATTATGTGACAAGAAAACTTTGGCTAGGCCATGCACGGTGGTGACTCATGCCTGTAATTCCAGCACTTGAGCCCAGGAGTTCGAGATCGGCCTGGGCAACACGAGGAGACCCTGTCACTACAAAAAATAAAACACCTAGCTGGGCATCGTGGTAGGTGCCTGTAGTTCCGGCTACTCAGAAAGCTGAGATGGGAGGATCTTTTGAGCTCAGGGGGTGACGGTTTCAGGGAGCTGAGATTACACCATTGCATTCCAGCCTGGGTGACAGAGCAAGACCCTGTCTCAAAAAAATAAAAAAAGAAAAAAGAAAATTTAGAATAATGCAATACCCATTTTACTTTTCTATTCTCCAAAATATTAGCTTTTGCAAACAGCTCAGGGCAGCAGGTAGAGCTCTGTGGCAGATCACTAGAGACCAGGTTTCTGATTGGTCAGTTCTCTCTGAGATTACCTGTTTGCCAGCTTGATGGTCACCTAACCGGACTGTCACCTGGTTCCATGGTCACCAAGCGTTTTAGTTGCTCCCCCATCTTTGTATGAGAGAATGCTCATAATTTTTGAGCACCCTGTCTTAAAACAGGCACATTTATTTATAAATCATACTATTACCAATCTGCAGAATATTAGTACATTCCTAAACTATGTTAATATTTAACACATAGTTTAATTTCTTATTTTTATATAAAAATATAAATGTTCTAATATTTTCCTCCCACACTATTTACTGGTTTGCTCACACCCCATTGATTTAATCCATTTTGCCCAGTCCAGAGACAGTTTTGTAGACAGACATGATATCTTGTGAAAAAGGGTGAAAAAATGTGTCATTTCACACCAAATCCCACTGTAGGAACCTCTGATGGGGTGGGCACAGTCTATCTCAGTGGGAAAATAAATCCTGATCTTCCACTTACAAGGTCAGGGAGGGAGAAGGGGAAGAATGAAATTTCAAGACCAGGCTCTATGTGGATGGAGGACTCCTGCAGAGGCCACAGTCATGCCATTTTTTGCCTCTTTGGCCTGAAAGGGCAAGCGCTGGGTCCTGACGGGGCTAGGACTGAATGCTTGGCATAATAAAGTGAGAGGAGGTGCACTGAATGGAGGGTGAATAATATTCCATTAGTATTAAGTAATTAATTAATTACATCCAATAATATCCCATCATATGTATTAACCACATTTTCTTTATCCGTTCATTGGATAAAGATGGACACTTGAGTTGCTTCTTTTTTTTTTTTGAGACCGAGTCTCGCTCTGTTGCCCAGGTTGGAGTGGAGTAGCGCATGGGAGTTAAAATGTGATGAAGCCCGGCGTGGTGCCTCACACCTGTAATCCCAGCACCCTGGGAGGCTGAGGCGGGCGGATCACCTGAGGTTAGGAGTTCAAGACCAGCCTGGCCAACATGGTGAAACCCCGTCTCTACTAAAAATACAAAGTTAGCCGGGTGTGGTGGCAGATGCCTGTAATTCCAGCTACTCTGGAGGCTGAGGCAGGAGAATCGCTTGAACCTGGGAGGTGGAGGTTGCAGTGAGCTGAGATCACTCCACTGCACCCCAGCCTGAGTCACACGAGTAAAATTCTGTCTCAAAAAAAAAAAAATTGTGATGAGATAGAGGCACTGGAGGTTAGGAGCTTGGGCGCTGGTGCCTGGCTGCCATAGTTAGTGTCCTAGCTCTGTGTCCTCGGGCAAGTTACTTCGCCTCTCTGTGCCCCATTCCCATCATCTGTTAAATGGGGTTAATAATTTCTACCTCACAGGGGGTTGTGAGGAGTGGATGGTCTAATACGCACAAAGCACTCTGAACAGCTTAATAAATGTTAGCTGTTACTTTTGAGACGAACGCCAGCCGGAATTTGAAGCTACAATGCAGAGTTGAAAGTAATCCCCAGACTTTGAGCCCCTGAGAACTCAGAGACATCTTAGGATTCAGTGCTTGGGCCAATCTTATTCCAATGTGAAAGGACAGGGTGACCTCAGCTGACCAGCCCAATTGCTGTGGTGACTGGGATTTGGTTCTCACCTCCCAGCCTGGGTTTTGTTTTCTAATATGATGAGGCCCCAATGCTGTCATCTCGAGAGCAGGAAGAGAGAGTTTTGCTCTTCTTGTTTAGTGCCAACCAGGCTCCCCCAACCATAGAAATCCCCAGAGGACTCTTCCATCAAAGTGAATATTCATAAAGTGCTTTAGAGTTGACAGAGTCCCTTTATATCCATTATCTTATTTGATGACCCCAATAATATTATGACCCTTCTATTTGCTGGGGCACTGAGGGGAGTGAGAGTCGGGGAGAGAGGTGGGAGGGGAAGGGAGGAGGGAGAAGAGAGGAAAGGAGAGGGGAAGGGAGGGGTAAAAGTAATGCTGAAATGTTGAGACTGGCTTTTATTTTTATTTTTCATTTTTTCAACAGTAGAGATGGGGTCTTGCTATGTTGGCCAGGGTAGTCTTGAACTCCTGGACTCGAGCAATTGTCTTGCCTCAGCCTCTAAAAATGCTGAGATTACAGGCCACCACACCCTGACAACTCTCTTATTTTGATTTTATTATATTTATTTTTGTTTTTAATAAGAACCTGGGTCTTTTTGACTCAAATATCCATGTGCTTCTGCTTTACCAGCTGGCCTTCAGGTGGGAGAAGCAGGCCCTCTGTGTGCCCAGCCTGGGTTCAGTCACTGACTCAGTGCCCAGCACAAGGTGGGTGGCTCCCCCAGGGGCCCTTGCTACCCTCACCATGAGCCACGCTGAGCTACAGATCTGATGCCTGGGTCTCCGCCAAGGGCTCGGGCTAACACGCCCTGTTTGGACTCAGCCAGGTGACCCATGATGGTAACAGCCGGCTTGCCGGCCTCGCCTTCCTTGCAAGAAGTTATGGAATAACATCAGAGCTTTTTGAGGCAGGTGTTAATCATGTCCCCATTTTACCGGTGAGGACGCTGAGACTTGGAGAAGCTCCCATCTGTGAGTAAGTGTTGGAGCCAGGTCTGTCTGACCTCGAAGTTGAACTTCCACTCTCCACTCTGAGAAGAAGCGTGCTTAGGGAGGCGCTGCTTGTAGAAAAGGATCCTGGAGAACTATTCATTTGTCATCACTCAGGCCAAGAGAGTAACAGAAGAAATGATCAATGAAAAACCCTCCAAAAGTTGTCATCGGCTTGGGTTTATCCTGCTTTAAATCATAACTTAAGCAGCCTGAAATGGTATTTCCCAAAGATGGGAATGAAATTCTGGTTATTCAAGGAAGAAGCCAAGGGCTGGGGGTTTGCAGGAGCAGTTTCCAGACTCCCAGGAGTGCAGGTAAGCTCTGAAGAGGCGGAAGGGAGGAAGGGAAGAGCAGGGGAGGAGGAGGGGCTGGAGCCCAACGAGAGAGGGAGGGGCCTGTCTAAGCCCATACTGCACTGGGGACAGCTCTTCCCCTGGGGCAACGACAGGCTCTTACCATCAGCCTTTTCCCAAGATGCCCCGGGGCACAGTTAAGTGCTTTAAGTGGCAGCTCCGCAAAAGGCCATCTCCCGCCAAGACTATAAAATGGAAAAATGGTGATGCTATATTCACGGCAAAGAATCAAGCGAGCAGAGCCTTAACAAGGAATTTATAAATCAGTTACTAGGAACATTAAAATGCCTCTTGCTGCACTTAATCTCCAGCTTCCTTTCTTCTTCCAAATACCTAACACATCAGTCTTTTTTACTGGCTCTGGTGGACCCTTCAAGGAAGTCTGTTCCTTTTTCAGAATAAATATATGTGTATTCTCTTGTCTGACTCAACTCGACTGTAAAACAAATAATGATACGTGCTTACTCTGGTTCTTCAGATAAATATGAGAGGAGGCAGTTTTGTCTTTCTTTGGTCTGGGACATCCCTGGGAGCAGGAATCATGGCTGTGCCAAGCACAGTTTCTGTAGCTGCATCCCATGCGATCCTGTAAGTAGGCACACTTGGAATGTAACGCCAGCAACGCGTGGTCTAGACATAGTCAAGCTTGGCCCAATAAAAACAGGAGAACCAAACTGCACTCCAAGGCATTCCCCAAGACTCTTGTATAATAAGAACAGCCAACGCTTCCATGAGCCTACCTTAGGCCAACTGCTGTCCTAAGCACATTGCGTTTATCAACTCCATTTATCTTCACAATAACCCTAGTACTGTTATGTTCTCCATATTATAGATGAGGAAACAGAGGCACAGAGATATTAACTTTCCCACTTTCATACAACCAGTGACTGGGGGAGTTGGCCTGTGGACCCAGGCAGCCTGACCCAGCAACAGGGCTCATAAACTTTGTGCTATATGGCTGTAACAAGAAGGCTAGTTTTACCATTTACCCTATGATATGATCAGGCTTTGTGTCCCCACCCAAATCTCATCTTGAACTACAATCCCCACAATTCCCATAATCCCCATGTGTCAAGGGAGAGACCAGGTGGAGGTAATTGGATCATGGGCGTGGTTTCCCCTGTGCTGTTCTCACGATAGTGAATTCTCAAGAGATCGGATGGTTTTATAAGGGGCTCTTCCCCCTTTGCTTGGCATTTCTCCTCCCTGCTGTCTTATGAAGAAGGTACCTTGCTTCCCCTTCACCTTCTGCCATAATTGTAAGTTTTCTGAGGCCTCCCCAGCTATGATTGTAAGTTTCCTGAGGCCTCCCCAGACATGATGAGCTGTGAGTCAACCAAACCTCTTTCCTTTATCAATTACCCGGTCTCAGGCAGTTCTTTATAGGAGTATAAAAACAGACGAATATACCCTCGTTCTGGGAGGATTCAGGGACCCAGGCTGCAATGAGAGGGCAGAGCTGCTGGGAGCCACCAATTTGGTTATTCCCAGGATGTCTGTTTGCTGGGCTGGTATGTTGTGGGTTGTTTTTGTAATCTCCACCTTAAAGCACATTTGGTCAAGTCTTATGAGAGGCTTCCGCTGGAGCTGTTTAAGTGGTGGCAGCTGAGGCAGGCCCCTGTCACTCAGGGAAGGCAGCCCTGTGAAGGACGCCTGGGTCTGGAGATCTGCAAGGGAGAGACTTTCTCCTGGAGAACTTTGGGGAAGCTTGGCTCAGTAAAGAGGAGGCAAGGTGGCCTGAACACAGACACTGGGCTGAGGTACATCTCTAAGATGACTGTGTGTGACCAGGAAGTGCTTCTGATCCTGGATACCTGGTGATATTCCAGCTGGTGAATGTAGCATCCCAGCCTGAATTTCAGCATTTGGGTCCTCCTTGAGAGATTCTGAGAATCTCCTTGCCAATATCTGTTTCTGGTCCTTGCAGACATCCAGACACTGCTGGACTTAGTCACTCACTCTATAGACCAGCTGTCTCTTTCATGCCTTTCTGATATTGGTCCAAAGGGGGCCCCAATGTCTCCCTTCTGGCCTACCCCCGCCCCCATGCACCTGCCCAGGCTTCTGGAATATTGAGGCTCAGCATGAACCCAGTGCCCTGGAGCCCCCTTGTCTTGAGGGGGCAATGGACAGTCCTGCTCTATCATCCTTAGTGTGAATTCCTGACCTCTTTGAGCTTAGTTGGAATTGTAAGCATGGGCTTTCTTCATTTTCCATAGGTGTGGCCGTGAGGCTGCACTGGCACTAGGCCAAACTTCACCAGGACAATCATGTCCACCACAATGGGGCAGCAGGAATTCTGTGTGGCCAGTGAGGGAGGTGTATTATAGAGGCCCATGGTGAAATCCAGATGATTTCACCTGTAGAGTCTCTTCTCACCGTGAGATTCCATAATTTAGAATGGAAATCTAAAGGGAGATTGTAGATGAAAGACTACAGCTAGTGAGTTAGATGACAACCTCCAGCTCAACAGCTGAGTTGTGAGCAAGGAAAAAGAAAATAGTGAAGCCAGGGAGCCAATGTGGGTTCCCTGAGAAAAAGTCATACCCAAGGATTTCCCTGAGAGAATTATTAGCCCATTCTAGCATGAAAACACTCTAAAACAATCTCATAGCTAGAAAATATTTCCTGGTTTTCAAGGCATTTTCCTTTACTATTATTTTCCCCCCTCTTTCATAACAGCCTTGGGAAATAGGCAGGGAAGTATAACATGCCCATTTTACAGACAAGGAAACAGAAAGAAAATGGGATTTACCCCGGAGCACGCAGCTAAGTTATGCAATGTAGACTCAAATTGATCTCTTCTATCTCTGCTTTGGGACCCTTTCTATAACTCTGCATGCTGTATTTTGATTTTTGCAAAACACTTGACAATGGGCATGATCTCCTTGAGGACCAGAGGGAGAAGCATTCCCGATGTGATGAATAAGCATGGTGGGTTAAACATGGAGGCCCATTTGATGGCTATAAGCCTGTTTGATGGCTGAATGAAGAGCTCTCTGGTGCACACCTGCCACAGCCCTTTTGTCCGGGACGACTTCCATGAGACACGGCAGTGTTTGTCAGACTTCTTGATGACACAGTGCTGGAAAGGACAGCTAATCCACTAGTTGGGAGAACTGAGTAGAAAATAATTGAGAATATTTGATGTATTGGAGAGGGCATAGGCTGTGGAATCAGACCAGCTGCAGAACCTTGGGCAAATTACTTAAGGAAAGCAGATGCTCATTTAATGCTCCTTCCCCTTCCTTTCTTCCTTCAGGCAAAGAAGAGGCAGGATTGCTGTCTCCCAATGTGTGAAGCTCCATCTTAATAAAGCAGGTGCTGCCTGTGTCAATACCCTGGTGGCTACCAGCTCAGCCCCTGGAAACTGACTGCCTTGGTTCCTTTCCTGGTTCCACTACATGCTAGTTGTGAGATCTTGGGCAAGCTACACCCTCTCTCAGCACCTGTCCTGTAAAATGGAGACAACGACAGCACCCATCTCACAGGATTATCGCTAGAAAGCACTCACAGTGGTAGCCAGCACCCAACACGTACTATGACAAATTTCCATTGTTGTCGTTATCATCCTGTGACCCCTAAAGGTAAAATGGAGCTGAACGCTGTAACTTACAGAAAGTGGGGTTTTTATTTGTGTAGGGGAGAACTTTTTGCCTCACTCCCCTGCTGAACACTTTTCAATTCCACTTCATTACCCTTAGGAGAAAGGCAGAAATCTTTAACGTGACCCCCACGGTCCTGCTCATGCGGCCCTTGACTTGTAACAGTGAAACTGCCTATGCAAAATGATGACTGAGACGGTGAAAGAAATCTATCTTAACTGACTCTGTTTTGCTTCTAACCTCCAAGCTGTCCTTGTTCATTCCTGGGCGTAGGCTGAACTAACTTTGGGAGAAACTTTATAGTTTACAGTTTAAACAAAGACAGTAACAGCCTTTCCCAAAACAGATCTCCTTCTGGTCTGGGGACTAGACTGTCTTTGTAGGACTAACAAGTGTCACATTAGAAATGTGCCAAGATTAGAAACATAAGCAAAGATTAGAGATTATGGTTTTGGAGTCATGCAGCTGGAGGCTACAAGATTCTGACCCTCCCTAAACTGCTCCTAAGATCAGTGCTTGAGACGTTTTGCCGACCCTGCACTTGATGGATCAGCTGGTACCACCCAGATCAATAAACTGGCTCATCTGATCTTGTGGCCCCCACCCGGGAACTGACTGAGCACAAGAAGACAGCTCCAACTCCCTATGATTTCACCTCTGACCAATCAACAGTCCTGGCTCTCTTCCTTCTCCCCGCCCACCAACTTATCCTTAAAAACTCTGCTCCCCGAATGCTCCGAAGACTGATTTGAGTAATAATAGAACTCTGGTCTCCTGCACAGCCAGCTCTGCATGAATTACTCTTTCTCTATTGCAATTCCTCTGTCTTGATGAATTGGCTCTGTCCAGGCAGTGGGCAAGGTGAACCCCTTGGGTGGTTACAACAGGCTTATCTTGCACTCCTTGGTCCCTTGCTCACTGTACTCCATCTGTCATCCTTTGGAATTTCTTGTATGCACAATGCCCCCTGCCTCTAGCCTCAGGGCCTTTGCACATGCAGTTTCTTCTGCCCAGAACAATCTTCTATCTTCCTCCTGGCCAATCTCTGCCAACCCTTCAATTTTCAACTTAAGTATCATTTCCTTAGAGAAACTTTTCCAGATCTTCTAAGTGAGGCCAGTCCTCCTTCTTATATATCCTCATAGTATCCTATTCTCTGTAGCAGTTACCACAGTCATAATTTTTTCATATAATTATTTAATGTCTACTTCTAATGGTACCAGAAACAACCCTTGCCTTACTCACTGCTATACTCTCAGCTCCCAGCACAGTGCCTGGCACTGATAGGCAGCAGGAAACATTTGGGGGTTTAATGAATACATTTTCTCACCAGCTTTGCTGGGCAGGGCTGCCTTTAGGGGCCATGAGGTGCACATCCCCGGAGATGTACAACCAAAGCCAGGGACATGGTGAGCTGAAGAAGCACTCAGGTGAATGAGGCCTCTCTGCTTCCTCCAGGGAGAATTCATTGCCACTAACCTTCAAGCTCTGAGGCTGCAAAATTTGCAAGACAACAGCTGAGACTGATGGGGGCTGAGATTAGATTATTCCTTCAGGGAGGGGTATCACCTCCTGGGGGAAAAGGGAAGGGGGTGGACACCCCCAAGTGGGATGGGGGAAAGGAATAGCTGCAAGAAAAGAAGGAGGGGGGGCCCTGGAGGACTAGCACAAAGGCCGGATTTAGCCGCTGTGCAGGTCAACATCCCTGAGTCTACACCAATAGGAACCCCTTCCCTCTCCTCCTCTCCAGCTGCCTCTGCCCTCTGCACTCACAAAGCCTCAGAGCAATCGCCCAACCCATATGGTAAAATATTCATCGGGATGCAAGGCAAGGCAAGAGACTGAGGCAGTGTCAGAAGAGGGGGTGGGGTTTCCTGGCTGAGAGGTCCTGGGTGCATCTTCTTTGGGCAGCGAGCCACGATGTTCTCTGCTTGGGAGCTGCGTGAGGGTCACAGCTTGGGCACAGCTAAACTCCTGAGGCTAGCACAAATGTATTTAACATTCCACCAACGTCCAGCTACTGGGGACTCCTGCATTATTTATTTATTTTTGTACTAATGGCCTGAAACGTCTACAGAGCAGCTCTTGGATAGCATGGTGACTAGAAACCCAGGCCCCTTGCTCCGCATCTTCTGCAGTGTGAGCAGAGTTCATGGTCTTGGGTCCCACTGACTAGCCCTGGGTCTGGAATCACAGGCAGCATTGGGGTGATTTTCCTCCTTGCCAAGACACAGATCCCTCTGAGGAGCGCCCGGTTATTTTTGAGTCTTCTGTGCTCAATCTTATCCCTCATTTCCAGGAACTGCATTGGCACCCGAGGCTCTTGCAAGTGGCAATTTACTAGAACAAAATAAAATCCCTAGTCAGATTTAAAAGCAATGAAATAAATAGAATTGCATTTTTCACTTGGCGTCAAGACGGTGGAGACACACCCACGTACAACTTGAAAGCACCTTGTTTGCTTCCTTTTAAAGAGAGGCGGCTGATCAATCAGCCGCTTTCATTTAAACTCAGGGACAGGGGAAAAGACAGAAAGCAAAAGCCCCTTTTCTCCTTCCTGGAGTCTGAAACCAACTGTTCCTATTTCTTAAATCTGTGGACTTCCCCTCCCATCCTCTGAACCTTTTCCCTACTTTTTCTCAGGATATATTCCACAGGAATTGAACATCTGGCAACACAGGTTTCCATGGAAAAGACAGCAGGCTGGGCTTTGTTCTCACCCACAGCTGATGGAGATGTGCCTTTCACATGGCAGTAGGGAGCCACTGTTAGCCACAGCAGGCTGGCGCTCAGAGCCCAGCAGGTCATGGCAGCGCTGGGAGCTGCCTCTGTCTTCTAGCTCTTTCCTTTTTTGCTGCACTTTTCCACATGCTGACTTTCCCCCAGACTTGGCTTTATCCTGCCAGGACATAGAGAATGGTCTTGGAGCTTCCCTGATTCTTTCCAATGTCTCCAGTCTCTGCTCCAACTCCATGTGGTACTGCCTACCTCTACATGACCTGGAATATTATTTCAGCTCTGTTCATTGATGACTTTAGGGAGGTGGCCAGGCTCTGCCCATCAGTAGGACCAAAGTGGCCATTTTCTCATCTGGGACCCAGAGAGATGGGGGTGGGGTGCCTTGGAGATGGTAGAGTCCAGCTGAAGACCCTCAGGCCCAGAGAGACTCAATAGCTGGCCCAAGGTCACACAGCCAGTTAGACATTGGACCTCCCGGTACTCACTCAGGTGCTCTGTCCAGTGCTCCATAAAGCCTGAGATCTGAGTTGGCCCTTCTGAACCATGTCCTTGGCAGGGGAGGCAGAATGAGATATCTGGCAGAGCTGAGCTCTGTGGCAGAATGACAAATGGGCCCCTTGTATTGCTAGGAAGTGGGTTCTGGGAACAAGGGCAGCCAACAGAGCCATTTATCCACCTCCCAGTCAGTGACTCGGCCAGCAGTGGAGAAGTCAGAGAGAACAGGGGGGTGTAAAGGCTATGGGTTCTCTAACTCATTACTGGCAGGGACTGCCATCCAGGGCTGACCAGCACTTCAAACGTGAGGCCTGTTGTCCTAAAGACCAGGGCCAGGTGAAGAACATCCTTTTAATATAAATTGCACTTAAATTCAGTGCTTCTCAATTTATGTTAATTGCAAATCGAAGTCTTGCAATTTCACATGTGTATACATATACCTATATTTAATTTTTTAAACAGCATAGTATACAGGATGTTCTAAGACAGGAGTTTTCAAATGTAGATGATAGAAAAATAATTTTTTAGGGAGCATTTGGCAAGCGTTATCAAAACTTTAAAATATTTATACTCTTTGTCTTAGGAATTCCATTTCTAGAAATACAGCCTAGGAAAATAATCAGAGATAGAGACAATAATGTTTGTTACAGCATTAAATTAGATCTAATCTTAATATCCCACCATTAAGACAATGGTAGAGTGTAGTATATCCATTTGGTAAATTATTATGAATCATTCAAAAATGATGTAAAGAATTCTAATGAAATAAGAAAATGCTTATGATATAATGTCAAACAAAAAAGTAGGGTATACAACTGCATGTACATATGTTTCAACCATTAAATCTATATGTTTATTTCTCTTTCTCCACATAATCTTAGAAAGAAGGGTAAGAAAAAAACCATGGGAAGTGTATATAGTGTTTTCCCTCTCAAAGGAGGTGATTTGGGTGATTTTTAAACACCTTCCTCAATTTTTCATACTGTGAGTGTGTGTGTTTAGGATTGCACACACATAGCAGAGGTTTTATCTGGGCTGGAGCTGAGATTTGGGTATCTCTGATGGGTGGAGGTGACAACCTCTCTCTCTCAGATATGTTTACCTCCATTGATCTCTAGGGGCCGGCAGACTGTCCTTGACTGGTGCTATGATTTGAATGTGTGCCCCAGATTTCATGTGTTGAAAACTTAATCCCCAAATTCATATGTTGATTAGGAGTGGGAGCTTTGGGAGGTAATTAGGATTAGATAAGGGCATCAGAGTGAAGCTGCTGGGATGGGACTGGAGGCTTTATAAGAAAAGGAATGGAGACCTGAGCTGGCATGCTCTTGCCCTCTTGCCATGTGATAACTTCAGCCTTGTTATGACAAAGCATGAAGGTCCCTACAAGATGCTGGTGCCGTGTACTTGGACTTCCCAGCCTCCAGAACCATGAGCTAAATGAACTTCTTTTTTAGAAAAATAAATCACCCAGTCTGTGGTATTCTGTTATAGCAATAGCAACAGAAAACAGACTAAGACAACGGGAACACAGGCATTTATGGATGTGCTTAGCAAGCCTGGGTTGGGGCCCCAGCTCCTTCTATCCATGTAAATGGCAAGGGGCCCAGGACAAAGGGAGCAGAGCAAACAATGCTCAGAAAGGGGGCCTGGGAGTCAGAGGAGGGCTTGTTCTGAGAAACAACATAATGGCTGCTGCTTGAAAGTCCTCCCTTGCTACCTGTTGACCCAATCGCCATGGCAACTTGTGTTTACTCTGGGAAGAGTTGCTATTGTCAAAAAGAGAGCTATAACTCCCAAGGGCCCAAGCAACCCTTGGGGAGCCCATCTAGGTGTATGAAGTTAGTGGTGAGGGAGCGTGTCTGCAGCCACTCTGCAGTGGCGATTATGGAGCAAGAACAGGGGAGCATCCCGGGGGATCTGCGCCTGGGGCAGTGGAGAAGTGGGCAGCAGACTTGGCTCAGTGGCAACAGCAGAAAGTGTGGGAAGAACAGGGTGTTGTGCTGGAGACCAGGATCCCAGTGGAAATTGAGACTGAGAGAGGAAGACAGAGGGAGGGAACTAGGGGAAACAGTCTTGGGGCTTGATGCTGTGACTTCATATGTGTCATTTGGGTTACAAATATGAATATGGGATAGTAGGGGGATGGTTCAGCTGCCTCAACCTGTCTTTGTAACAGTCATGGCATTCTGCATAGTGAAAAGATCAGAATGGAGCAGGAGTTTATAAGCTCAAATTCATCTTGCAGACATGTTTCACGAAGGTCAAAAATTGGGTACCTTTAGGCAGGTCCTACCTTCTAATTGCCATGCACCCCACCCCTTCCTACTGTCTCACACCTGGCCCAGTTCACTTATTGCTATCACTTGCCTAAGCCCTGGAGGTATGTGAGTTTGCAGCCTGTGGGTGGATGTCCTCCAAGGGCCTTTCCAGCTCTCATGTTACAAAGTGGCTTTGCAGCCCTCGTCTCACTTGCCGTCCTCCATCCCACCCCCTCATATCCAGAGCTCCCCTAAGAACCACTCCCCCTTCTCCATGCACATCTGCCTCATGCCTGCCTTGCTTAGGCTGCCCTACCTGCCTGCAAGCCCTTCCACTCTGGAGACCTCCAACTTGTCTTCCAAGTCTCCATTCAGGGTTCTCCAGCTTCATGATGTCTTTTCCTTGTCCCCTCTGATGCAGTCTGAGCACTCCTGTCTTTGTGTCCTCACTTTGGCCAGACACTGTGATGGCTTTTGTCCTTGTCTCCCTTGGCTGCTAGCCTTGGAGCAGCATGGGGCCTACGCTCTGCTCATCTCCCAGTTTTTGGTGCCTAGCATGGTGCTATAGGAGGGAAGGTATTACATCTCCGTACACTGCTGAGTAATCAGGCACTGGCTCAGAGAGGTTCACCATGTTGTCCAGGGTCACACAGCTAATGAGATAAGCAGAGTTAGTACCAGAATTCAGGTCTTCTTCCTTGAAGTGTCCACTGGGCTTTCTCTGCACCAGGTATCACAACTTGCAGGGAAAACCCAGGATGCTTTAATCATTTGAAATGAACCAGGCAATAGATTAGTGATGAGAAATAATGGATATGGCTGATCTATCTGTCTGTCTGTCTAACATATATATGAGATATATGTCAATATATATACTCCACAGAGATGACCGAGTGGGTGCTATTCAGAAAACACATCGGAGTTAGTCCTTTCCCCAGAAAGTTGACCTCCACTCTTGGGCATCCTCTTCTGGATCGAGGAAGGTCCTGTTGGGTAAGGACTCCCAAAGCATCAGCTGAGTACACTGGCATTGTTCCATGTCAGGGTGTGGATGGAAGAATGCCTGTTTAGTCATGTGGGCTCTGCAGCCACAGTTCAAATCCCAGCTCTGCAACTTATGAGCTGTGTGACCCTGGATAAATGAGCTAACCCTTCTGTGCCGCAGTTTCCTTATTTATAACCAACTCATGGTGATAGTTTCTAGCCTCTTGAGGCATTGAGAGGATTGATGCTGTGACCTCATATGTATCATTTGGGTTACAAATATGAATATGGGATGGCAGGGGGGTGGTCCATCTGGCCTCAACCTGTCTTTGTAACAGTCGTGACATTCTGCATATATATACTCCCATATACATGAGAGGATTAAATGAGTTAACCCGTGTAAAGCACACAGTGAGCCCTAATGTGAGTGCCTCTGCCATTAATATTGTCAGTTTGTCTGTGAGTGGGCAAGAGGGCCTGGCACTAGAAATCAGGGGACGTGGCCCTGGTCTGGCTCTGCCTTTGGCTATCCTTCCCCAACTCTCCTGCAGGGGGCAGGATGGGTGGGTTCCATGTTCTTGGGGATTTTTGCAATTCCTTTGCCCCTGCAGCACTCTTCTCTGTGGCTTCTGCAACTGCTTTGGGACGAAGCCTCTTGAGTAGATGAAAGGGAGTGGGAAGTTGAGAGCATCCCCGCTCCCTGCCACCTCCTGCGTCTTCTTAATGAGCTGCCACTATCTCTGTGGGGTGTGGGGTCGTGCTAGCTCCCATCTGGAGGGAGGCTGGCTCTGACCTTGCTCTCCAGGTGCCAGCTCACCTCCAGGGAGGTAGTTTCCCGAATGCTGACCCCAGGCCAGGCCCTGTCCTCCAGGGACTCAAAGTCACTTTACACTTCAGGGCAGCGAGTGCAGTGCAGGCCAAGCACAGGGGACTGGGTGATCCCAGCCAGGAGGGGAGGGGCTCAAGGAGAGGGTCGGGAGGAGGTGACCCGGGAATACTGAAGGTCCAGTAGGAGGTGATTAGAGGGTTAAGGGTGAGCATTCCAGGAAGACAATGGCCTGGGCTGAGGCCACAGAGGAACAAGCTAGCCATGTTCAGTTGTTCAGCGGGCTAGGGTGGAAAATGGCCAGATTCCAACCTCCTAGCCTGGGAGGATCACTTCTGGGAGGGAGAACCTAGGCCCCGGCCAGGATTCCTGTGGTCAGTTTGGGCTGAGGAAGGTGGGATGCTGAGCCCATTGCTTCTCTGGTTTTAAGCCCTTTTCAGTGTATCTTGGAAAAGAAAACACACCTCTTCTTCTGTGCCTCTTCTTCCTGGGGGCAGGGGGTAGGCTTAAAAGTGGCATTAAACACCTTATTCCCAAAGCCCTGGGATGTCAATGATGGGGTTCCCTGATGAGCTCCTGGGTGTTGCTCACCTTCATGCCAGCCTCCCGGCCTTCCTGCATTATGAAGGAAGCTCCAGAAGCCCAGCTTTGGCCAGCTGCAAAGCCAGTGGGGGCCCAGTGCTGGGAGGCCATATGGGGAGCTGGGCAGAGGGGTACCTTGGCCGACCTAGGGACTTCAAGCTGGTCCCTGAGCTAAGCAATTGCGCGGCGGTGCTCAGGGCAGGCCTGCCTTTCTGGGCCTTCAGACTTCCCACCATCTGCTTAGTGAGGCCCTCTGTTTAAATTCTCTACTTGTCTCGGCTTCCACAAAATAATTAGCATCTATTCGTTCCTAGAGCTTGCTTGGCGACATTAGTCATTGTAGGAGCTTTCAGTGCGGCTTGCAGAAATTTCCATTTGATGCAAAGTTGAAAATGGCTTAAGTGGGACTCCACGGGCCCCACTTACTTTACCAGCATCTGGTGCCTTGGTTTGTTTCCTCCTACCTGCTTCTTTGCTGCCTTCTGAGCAGGTGTGGGGCCTGATGATGACAAAGGGAGAGGAGGGCACTCAGACAAGAGAGGATGCTGTCCTCCTGGGACACCGTGGGGAAGGAGACTCACAAGGAAAACCCATCTGGGGTGGGAGAGGGAGGAGGAGGTTTTTAGTGCTGCAGCCACCTAGGCCCTTCCCGCAGGGACAGAGCTTTTGTAAGGGAGCGATTTATGTGTTGAGCTGCAAAGGAGGCCACATAAACCCAATCCCGGTTCAGGCATGAAATCCGCTGCAGAACAATTCTCTGACATATTTGCTTACAAAACTAACATGCACGATTGCAGAACAACCTGCTCTCTGAGGCATGAGTGGCTCAAAGCCCTTTGGCTTTTCTTGAAAGCAGTGCTTTGGCTCTCATGAGAACCCAGCTGCTCTAGCGTTGGTCAGTTTACATATTCCTGAGCCAGAGAAAGGGAGAAGGTGCTGCCTCCTGGCGGTCCTGTGGGGAATGAATGTGGGGCAAGCCAGTTCCTGAAATCATGCTTCACACTCCCTGGGCTGCAAAATGCTTTCCTTCCATCAACCCTCTCAGGTGGATGTTAAGGTCTTATCTGAGCCAATGGGGAGATGGACATTCAGGGAGAGGAAGGGCCATGCTTTGTGATTCTGGCCTTTCTTTGCCTATCTGTAAAATGATCTGGTTGTCTGTAATCCCAGCACTTTGGGAGGCCGAGACGGGCAGATCACCTGAGGTCAGGAGTTCGAGACCAGCCTGGCCAACATGGTGAAACCTTGTCTCTACTAAAAAATACAAAAATTAGCAAGGCTTGGTGGTGGGCACCTGTGGTTCCAGCTACTAGGGAAGCTGAGGCAGGAGGATTGCTTCAATCCAGGAGGCAGAGGTTGCAGTGAGCTGAGATCGTGCTACTGTACTCCAGCCTGGGCAACAGAGTGAGACCCTGTCTCAAAAAAAAAAAAAAAAAAAAAGGACCTGGTTGGACAAAGCAATCTCTGAGGGCTGTCCACATTTAGTCTCTCCCTTGTGGTGTGCATTGGGCCTGAGGGGTTTTACCCCTATGGCGGTCCACAGGGGGACCCTGCCCTGGTCAGTGGCCCATGCAGCAAGACGCATGGTGCTGTGCGACGCTTTGGGTCTGCAGTGTAAGACAGATCTGGGTCCAAGCCCTGGCCTGGCCCTGTTTTAGCTGTCCGGTCTATGGCAAGTTGGCTTCCCTGGCTGGATCTTGGTTTTCTTCTCATCCACAAAGTGGGGTCAGCTCCCTCTTCTGCCTGCCTTATGCCTCACTCCAGTGTGAGTGTCAAAGAAGAGAATCAATATGGAAATGCCTTGTGGATGAAAAGGTGGTGTTTGATTTTCTTTTGCAAAACATGATATATGCAAATTATACCAGAAATCAAATCTCACAAAAAGATGATGAAAGATAAGCTTCCCTTCCTACCTGTCTCCCACTTCTTCTCTCTAGATACAACCTATTATTACTCCTTGTGTGCGCTTCCTTAGAGACTTTCCATATGTCCAATATATATGTGCAAAGAGTGACATCTCAAGTATTTATACATCCATCTATCTATCTCACTTAGATGATTTTTAGGACTTTTAGAAATATCCGTTCAGCAAATATCCACTTTCCTTCTCTTCCTCCCAGGAAAATGCTCCCTGGCCCCATTGGTATTGGACTTGGCCATGACTTACTCTGGCTAATGGGATATGAACCAGTGTGACATGAACAAAGATTTGAAATATAGTTGGTAGAAATCTCCTCTAGTGCTTCTGCCATGACCATGAGAGGAATAAGCCCTAGCTAGCTGGCTGATCCCAGAAGAATGAGAGCTGTGGATTGGAGCCACTCCAGCCTATCTGTGGGAGTGTAGAAGAAAAAGAAAACTGTCCCAACTGACTGCACACCTTTGAGCCTGAAAATAATGCTTATTGTTGTATGTCATTGAGTTTTGGGGATGTTTGTCATGTAGCAATTGCTAACTGATACAATATATATGTTTACTTTTTTTCTAAACTGTATGGGAACATATATACAATATTGTGCACCTTGCTTTCTTCACATAATGTGTATTGGAAATTGCTCTGTATTGGTACATGTACATGTCTCTCAATTTTAATGGCTGTATAATATTCCATCTTATAGTATGTTCCTTATTGATGGATGGGTAGGTTGCTTCTGTCTTTTCCTATTATAGGTTGAATATCCCTTATCTGATGCTTAGGACCAGAAATGTTTTGGAGTTCAGATTTTTTTGGATTTTGGAATGTTTGCATTATGTACTTACTAGTTGAGCATCCCTAATCCAGAAATCTGAAATCTGAAATATTTCAATGAGCATTTACCTTTGAGTGTCATGTTGGTACTCAAAAAGTTTTGAATTTTGAAGCATTAAATGATGATTTTGGATTTGGGATGCTCAACTTGTACAACAATATTGTAATGACTCATAATTATATTGCAGGACAAGTACCTGGAAGGAGAAATTACCAGGTCAAAGAGTATGTTCAAAACTGTTGAACCAATTTACACTCTCACCATCCGTATATGACAACTGTTGTTTCCCCACAATAGGGATATTACTTTGAGGATGCCTCTTTACTGCAGCAGAAGTTCTGATTCTTGTTCTACAGCCCCACAGTCTTCAAACCTCACCATGAGGTTTCAAAAAGCAGTGTTTTCCCAGAGTGGTATGTGATTTTAGGTGGTACCAGAGACGATTTTTAAAAGGTACACAGAAAAGATACTAATGAACAATGAATCACGCAGTGATAAAATGATTCACTTTCCAAATCTCTACTGCTCCTCTGATTCCATCAGGGAGAAAGTCCCAGCTGGATGCTGATGTATTTTAACACTTCTCTAGCAGTTGCTAATTTTCCCTTGAACTCAGAGCCTTCGGTGGGCAGTAGTACTTAGCTTTCACTGGATTCATTAAAAAAAATTAATTTGTTTTTAATGGACAAATAAAAACTAAATATATTTATCATGTACAATGTGATGTTTTGAAATGTATATGTGGTGGAATGACTAAATTGAGTTATTTAACATACGCATTACTTCACATCCTTACCATTTTTTTATGGTAAGAACACTTAAAATCTACTGTCTTAGCATAATTTTCAAGAATACAATACATACTTATGGTCACTATGTTGTACAATAGACCTCTTGAACTCATTCCTCGTATTTAACTAACATGTTGTATCCTTTGACCAATCCTCATTTCCTGGTAATCACTGTATTCATTTTTTACCAGTTAATTTTATTTACTGGCTAATGTTCCTGATTTTTCTTTGTTGGAGAGTGATTGCAAATTTCCTTTGAAAATAAATTTATTTCATTACAAAAAGCTTGTGCTCAGATTTATTTACTTTTTTTTTGGAAGTAATGTTAGACATACAGAAGGGTGGCAAAAATGGTACAGGGCTTCCTATATTCCCTTCACTCTGCTTCCACCAGTGCTAACACCTTACATAACCGCAGGACAATTATGGAAACCAGAAAATTAACATCGATTTGATACTCTTGACTAATCTACAGACCTTATTTGAATTTTGCCAGTTTTCCCACTAGTGTCCTTTTTCTTGTCCAGATCTAATCCAAGATCCCACATTGCCTTTACTAGTTGATATGGTTTGATTGATAGGTCTACACTCAAATCTCATGTCGAATTGCAATCCCCAGTGTTTGAGGTGGGCCTAGTGGGAGGTAATTGGATCATGGGGTGGATTTCCCCCTTTGGTGCTGTTCTTGTGATAGAGTTCTCATGAGATCTGGTTGTTTAAAACTGTGCAGCACCTCCTCCTCCTCTCTGTTCCTCCTCCTCTGGCCATGTGAAGATGTGCCTGTTTCCCCTTCACCTTCTACTATATTGTAAGTTTCTTGAGACCCCCCAGCCATGCTTCCTGTACAGCCTGCAGAACCATGAGCCAATTAACCTCTTTTCTTTATAAATCACCCAGTCTCAGATATTTCTTTGTAACAGTGTGAGAGTGGACTAATACAGTAGTCCCAGCTATTTAATTTCCCCCACATTGTGACAGTTCTTATGTCTTTATCTTTCATGATCTTGATAAGTTTGAAGAGAACTGGCCAGTTATTTTGTAGATCATCACTTAACTTGGGTTTGTCTGGTATTTTCTCATGCATACCACAGAAGTGATGTTTTGCCATTCTCAATACATCTTAGGAAGAGGTACATGATGTCATATGGCTTAGGTGACCCATGCTTGGCAGAGGTTTGGGAAAACCTTGCATAGGTGGAGACAGTTTGTGGTTGTCCTCTGGTAACTTCTGTGATGTGGATCTGTGTCTGGGCAATAGTCCTCCCGATCCTGGCCTGCCATGAGGAGGCCGACCACCCTCTGCCCTTGTCAAAACTCATGGTGCAGCTCTGAAGTGTCTATGATGGAAACCAGCAACCCCATCCCCAGCACCCTGCTTCCTAACGTTGGTCCTGAATGGTGACTGAGCTAAGACTCTATTGAGCTTTCATTTCTGTGCCTTCTGAGACATGTTCATGCTGGTTCAGATGAAAGGTGCGAGACAGCTCTTTGGATTTGATCTTCCCTCAGATGAAACATTTTAGGCTAGAAAATAAAGACGTCCCAGGCAGGTGGGAGTCAGTGACACCCTTGATAGAGGCATCTCTGCAGTTTTTCCTTTCAACCCCAAAAGAGATTTTCCCAACTGATATTGCTCACCATCTGTTGCCAAGCTATTGCTTTGTTTGACTTTCTTTCCCTTCATGTTTTGGAAAATGTTCTGTGAAATCCCAATCTCTCTTCCCTCTGTGATCTGAAGAAACTCTCTCTTTCGGCTTCTTCCCCACCTACCTCTGGAAAGACACTGGAGTCTTGGAGCGGCTGCTGGCTCCTGGGCAGCTGGTGCTAGTTTAGGTCTCAGATAATATTGCCCTGAGGAGAAAAGCCAATTACCTTAAGCTAAGACTAATTAACTACCACAGAGGGTGGGATTTCTGAAGAAAATGCCTGACTCTCCCTACGGTCTGTTTAATGAGCGGATGGCTCCGCAGGGATGCCTTTGATAATCCCAGGGCCTGAAACGGATCCCACCACACAACTCACAACTGAATCTGGATCCCAGCGTCACCTCTGCCTAATTTCTGACTCACATACTGACTGGTTTCATGTACTGTCGAAGTTGATGGATGGAGGTGAGAAATAATTTTTTTATGTTACTTGTCAATATGAGTCAATTCCTCCTTTTTCCTCTTCTGTGTGCAAAGTCCTGGTTTGGGTACCAAAAAGACATGGGAGACACTATATCTTAGGCACTGTTATTGCTGCTGGGGAGACAGCAGTGAATGGGCTATAGACACATTGCTTGTCCTCTTGGAGCTTGGAATTTAGTGGGAATCCCAGGTAGCTTAACTATGAAGAGGGATGAAATTTAGGATAAAGTGCTATGGGAGGGAAGAAGAGGAGACTTAATCCAGTTTGGGGTTGTGGAGCCAATTTCAAGGTGAGGCTTGAACAATGGGCAGGAATTATGCAGCTAGAGGAGCCAGAGGTGGGTGGGAAGGGAAGGTGTGTTTCAGGCAGAGGCGCCAAATGTGGCACAGAGATGAGAATAGCACAGTGAAGTTGAGGAACTGTTGAAGTCGAATTGGAACCCAGAGTTCAAAGAGAAGAGTGGAGACAGATGAGCAGGAGGAGGGTTGGCAGGAAAGGCCTTGTAAGCTCAAGGGTTTGACTCTACTTCTAAGAGCCAACTATTGTATATGAGAGGGAGGGCTCACATCTCCATTTTAGTTGACTTGGCTGCTTTGTTATAGTCCCTTTGCATTGCTATAAAGGAATACCTGAGAATGGGTAATTTATAAAGAAATGGTGAAGCCCCACTAAAAATACAAAAAATTAGCCAGATGGGGTGGTGGGCACCTGTAATCCCAGCTACTCGGGAGGCTGAGGCAGGAGAATCGCTTGAACCCAGGAGTCAAAGTTTGCTGTGAGCTGAGATCATGCCATTGCACTTCAGCCTGGGCAACAAGAGCAAAACTCCGTCTTAAAGAAAATTATAAAGAGAAGAGGTTTATTCGGCTCACAGGTCTGCAGGTTGTACACTCATAGTGCTGGGAAATGCTCCTGGTGAGGGCCTCAGGAAGTTTACAGTCATGGTGGAAGGCGAAGGGGAGCCAGTGTGTTACATGGTGATAGAGGGAGCAAGAGAGAGGGAGGAGGTGTTGGGCTCTTTTCAACAACCAGATCTAATGTGAATTCATAGAGAGAGAAGTCACTCATAACTGCAAGAACAGCACAAAACCATTCATGAGGGATCTGCCCCCATGATCCGAACACCCACTATGCCCACCTCCAACACTTGAGGTCACATTTCAACATGAGATGTGGAGAGGACACAACATTCCAATGATATCAGCTGCTTTAGAAAAGAGAAGGCTGGAGACGGGGCAGGGAGAACAATGGGCAGATATTGTGCAGTTCTAGAAAGAGGGGATAGTGTCCTGGTCTAGGGCAGGATAGAGAGGAAGAAGTGGATGGAGAGTAGGGTTTTTAGTAACACTTCCCACCCCAGGAGTAACAGCATGTTAAATACAATGGGTCTGAGTCCTAATAGGTGCTACCTTTCTTTACCAACAGAAAGTGACATTTCTCTGTGGCAAAGTCAATGTTATTGTTCATCACACATTGAGTTCTAACCAGAGGAATATGGGCAGAACTGATGTAAGTCTTTTCCAGGATTGAGCTAAAAACATTCCACTCAACCCTCCAGGCTTCCTGAATGGTGGTTTTCTAAGACAGCTGGAGCTTGAATCCCTGAATCCCTACTTGGAGGAGCGACCCCAGGACAATGTCTTATCTTGTTTCAAGTCGTGATAGGAACAAGAAACCACCGTGTGTTAGTTAAATCACTGAAATTTTGAGGTTGGTAATTATAGAAACTGGCATTTCTTACCAGGCCTACCACAAACCAGTTGGGCTCATATTTTTCTTAGTTCTTTCACGGCATTTTGGTGGTTTCTAACTCTCTGTTCATCCAGAGAAGAGGAATTGTTCAGTGTGGAGAAGGAAGGAAAGGCAGTCATACAGAAACAGAGATATATCTACACACGGATACATGGGGCCCCTCAACCAAGATACCCATACAGGCCCAGAAAATCACTCAGTAATAATGATAAAACAATAAAACCGAAATTCCTTGAATGTCATGGTCTGTGCTAATAGTTAATTAAATCCCACAACAACCCTACGAAGTAGATACTATTATCATTCTCTCTCTCTCTTTTTAATTTTTGAGACAGGACCTTGCTCTGTTGCTCAGGCTGTAGTGCAGTGGTGCAATCACAGCTCACTGCAGCCTTGATCTCCTGGGATCAAGTGATCCTCCCACCTCCGCCTCCTAAGTAGCTGGGACTATTGATGCATGCCATCATGCCTGGCTATTTTTTAAATTTTATTTTTGTAGAGATGACGCCTCTCTATGTTGCCAGGGCTTGCTTCTCTCTCTCTCTCTCTCTCTCTCTCTCTCTCTCTCTCTCTCTCTCTCTCTCTCTTTAACAGATGGGAAAACTGAGTTCAAGAGGGGATGAGTAACTTTCCCAAGGCCACATAGGATTTAGACCCAGGCATCCCGACTCAGGAGTCTGTCCTTTTAGCCACAACTCACAGACAAGGGCACGGTGACAGAGGTCTGGGGATGGACACACATACACACAAACACACACACACGACAGAGACAGAGAGTATCTGGATTGTCCTTGTCCTCAGCATGAACACCATTCCGCTTTCAGGAGAGAGATGGCCAGATTGCAGTGGTGACAAGAACAGAGCATTGCCGTTACTGAAGACTTACTTTAATGAAATTCTCAGCTGGCTCAGGACATTTTGTTTCTCTCTAGATAACTTCCTGATGCTATCACTTTTGCATACCCTGTTTATTTCACCTGCTCCGTCTCTCCCTGGCCCAAAAGGGAGGCTCTGTTGGTTTGTTTGATGTTCCTTAGATACAAATGATCCTTCCCTGAATAACAAATAGGATGCACCCTTCAGAGGGATTTATGATTCACCTCTTGTTCCTCTAGTTTCTAAATGAGATACTTCCCCAGAAGGTGCTTTTTCCCAGTTAACACCTGAAACTTTGTCCCAGCAGATGGGTTGTCTGCTGAGCACACGGGCTTAGTTTTTCAGATCCTGGGCTTGATGTGTCACCCAGACTCTGGCCTCTGAAACCTTAGGCTGCCCAGAGTGGAGAAGTTGTCAGCAATGAGAACCCCTGCCTCGGCATATTTGTGGGTGTGAGGAGTAGTTCCTGTGGGAAGTTCCTGGGATAACAGTTTCTAGGTTGGGCTGGTCTCTTCATCCATCAGTTCTAGTCGCTATTGCTGCAAAACTGAGGGGTGTCATGCAGCCATTTTTATTACATTTACAGATTCTGTAGGTTAGGAATTTGGACAGGACCCAGTGGGGATGGTGTGTCTCTGCCCCATAGTGTCTGGGGCCTCTGCTGGAAAGATTTGAAGGCAGGTGTTGGCGGCGGGGGGAGTCACTTGATAGCTTTGGGCTGGAGTCATCTGGAGATGTCTTCACTTATATCTGGAGGTTGATATGATATATAACATCTGAAGCTGACCATCAGACAGAGCCAGATGGACGGAGCGCCTCTACTTGGCTTCCCCATGTGATCGCTCTGCGTGCGCTAGTTTGGGATGGTATACAGCATAGCCATGGGGTTTTAAGAGGAAGCATCCCAGCCGGGGGCGGTGGGTCACACCTGGAATCCCAGCACTTTGGGAGGCTGAGGTGGGTGGATCACCTGAGGTCAGGAGCTGGAGACCAGCTTGGCCAACGTTGTGAAACTCCGTCTCTACTAAAAATACAAAACGTAGCCGGGCATGATGGCACTCGCCTGTAATCCCAGCTACTTGGGAGGCTGAGGCAGGAGAATCACTTGAGCCCAGGAGGTGGAGGTTGCAGTGAGCCGAGATGGCGCCGTTGTACTCCAGCCTGGGCAACAAGAGCGAAACTTCGTCTCAAAAAACAAAACAAAACAAAAAAAATTGCGACATAGCACTGGAGGTTACATAATGTTACTTCTGCCATGCTGTTTTGGCTGAGACAGCCACAAAGTATTTCTAGGTTTAAGGGAAGAGGATACTGATCTCACCACTCAATGGGGAAGTGGCAAGGTTAGAAGAGGACGTGGGAAAAGCCTCTTTGCAGCCACCTTGGAGAATGTAACTGATATACCATTTCACATGTGAATCCCTTCCTTGTAGCCCACTGCATGCCCTTGCAGCTTCCGCTCTCCTATACTCCTATCATGGGGAGTTCACTACTTGTTCCAGTTAATTTTCTTTGAGTGTAAGCAACAGAAGCCCACTCTGGCTAACTTAAGCAACGCAGGATGTACTGACACAAGGTGGGGGGTGTTGAAGGATGGAAGGGAAGGCTGAAGATCCAGGCTTGGCATGAAAAACGACCAGGGCAGTGCAAGAAGAAGTCTTGTTCAGTCACGCCTGGGGGATAAATTCCAAACCATATTTGAAACTTTTAGTCATTCTGTTCAAAATTTAAATCACGAGGCGAGAAGATCTGAATGGCCCTGTGCTACGAACTTTACCACTTACTACTTACTTGACTCTGGGAAGGTTGTTTCACTGCTTTGTGACTCAGTTTCCTCATCTGTAAAATGGGGACACTCATAGCAGCTACTTCATAGTTTATGTGAGACTTAAATAAGATGGTGGTTACAAAGTGGTTAGCCCAAAGTCTAGCACATGGTAAATCTTCAATTAATATTAGCTAACAACTGCAACAATAACAACAACTGCTACTGTTACTGCAATGACTATTTTTACTATTATTATTTTTGAGATGGTGTCTCACTCTGTTGCCCAGGCTGGAGTGCAGTGGCATAATCTTGGCTCACTGCAACCTCCGTCTCCTGGGTTCAAGCAATTCTCCTGCCTCGGCCTCCTGAGTAGCTGGGACTACAGGTGCATGCCACTATGCCTGGCTAATTTTGTATTTTTAGTGGAGAAGGAGTTTCACCATGTTGGTCAGGCTAGTCTCGAACTCCTGACTTCAGGTGATCCACCCGTCTCGGCCTCCCAAAGGGATGGGATTACAGGCATGAGCCACTGTGCCCAAGCCAGACTATTACTATTTTGGTTGGCTTGCTTCTGTGCGTAGTACAGGGTCAGGCACACAGTAGGTGCTTAGTTTTAGTGCTGAATGCATGAACAAATAAATGAATGGCTTCTGCTCTAATACATAGCAATCAAGTTCTTTGAAGTCATCTTTAGACATTTCTTTCTTTTTTTTTTTTTTTTTTGAGATGGAGTTGCCCAGGCTGCAGTGCAGTGGTGTGATCTCGGCTCACCACAACCACCGCCTCCCGGATCCAAGTGATTCTCCTGCCTCAGCCTCCTGAGTAGCTGAGATTATGGGCATGTGTCACCATGCCCGACTAATTGTTTTGTATTTTTAGTAGAGACGGGGTTTCTCCATGTTGGTCAGGCTGGTCTTGAACTTCCAACCTCAGGTGACCCACCCGCCTTGGCCCCCCAAAGTGCTGGGATTACAGGTGTGAGCCACCGCACCCGGCCTAGACATTTCTTATAATTAGATCAAAACAAGAAAAATCAACATATAAGAATCTCAGTGCATTTAAATATTAGACCCACCCTCCTGAGTGACTGTTTTCTCTTTCTCTTCCTTCCTTCCTTCCTTCTTTCCTTCTTTCTTTCTTTCTTCTTTCTTTCTCTTTCTTTCTTTCTTTCTTTCTTTCTTTCTTTCTTTCTTTCTCTTTCTTCCTTCCTTCCTTCCTTCCTTCCTTCCTTCCTTCCTTCTTTCCTCCTTCCTTCCTTCCTTCCTTCCTTTTTGAAAGAGTTTTGCTCTTGTTGCACAGGCTGGAGTCCAATGGTTTGATCTCAGCTCACTGCAACCTCTGCCTCCTGGGTTCAAGCGATTCTCCTCCCTCAGCCTCTGGAGCAGCTGTGATTACAGGCGCCCGCCACCATGCCCGGCTAATTTTGTACTTTTGGTAAAGTACAAAATGTTGGCCAGGCTGGTCTCGAACTCCTAACCTCATGTGATCCACCCACCTCGGCCTCCCAAAGTGCTGGGATTACAGGTGTGAGCCACCGCACCTGGCCCTTGGTGATTGTGTTCTGTGTCTGTAGTCCTTCTTCTGAAAAATAATCCCTGGTGTTGCTCTTTGCCCGAGTCCTTCAGAAATGCTGCAAACAGTAAACAAGCAACTCCACTCCAAGGAGGTGAATCATCTGCTGACGGGATTGCATTCCACATCAATTCTCGTGTCATATTTGATTAATTTTGTATCTAGCTTCATTACATCTCATCCCTCATTTCAAAGGTGTCCTTCATAGGGGACACTGGAGGAAGCAGAGAGGGGAGACCGGGCAATGGACATCCTGCTGCGAAGAGTTCATGGATGCCCCAAACAGTAGCAACTGAGATTTAACCCTCTCAGAGTCCCACCTCTGCCCATGAGATGAGCTCTCTGCTGTTACTGCAGCGTTTCCCAAGCTTGAGTCACGGTGACCCAGCCACCATGAGACAGCCACTTTACACACCATTAATCAGCAGAATGGCTGGCAAATGCTAACCCACTTAGCAGTGATATCCTAGCAGGTGACAGCTACCGGAGCTGACAGCATCTGGCTGGAGGGCACACATCTCCAGGCAGGCCGTCTGGAGCTCTCTGAGTTCTATGTGGGTTACTGTGAAGCTGAAGGTGAGACTTCCAGCTTCCTGGCCAAGAGTTGCTTAAATGGGTCAGGGCAGGATTTAACTCTGGCACATCTGAGTTCTGGGCCCTTATTCACCAGGGCTGATGACATCTCCTTCCCATTCTTCCCCTTCTACCCACGTCCTACCACATCTTGGAACTCTGAGGATTCATCTAACATTTATTGAATTCAATTCAATAATTTGTTGAGTGGTGTAGCGGAAACCTCTGCTGTTTACGTTATGTCTGTCCTTTTGGCCCACTTCTAATTTCAGGTGAAGCTGTGTGCATGTGTGACTGTAGCTGTGGCTATGCATGGAGGCTGAGCCTGGATCCTGCCCTCAGACCATGCTGTAGTCATGGTCACAGACTGAGCCCTCATTTTGGTCACAGGCTGAGCTCTGATCATGGTCACGGACTGAGCCTTCCTCCTGGTCACAGAGAGAGCCTTGATTCTGGTCATAGACTGAGCTCTACAGACTAAGCTCTGATCATAAGAGAACACAGTGAGAAAGAGATTGAGGATGGCTCAGTTCAGGCCACCCTCACTTCTGCAGTCGCAGGCGGGAGCCGTGCCCTCTCAGTGGGATATGAGGAGTGGGGGAATCAGAGTAAAGGCATCCTGCATCTGAACAAAGACAGTGCCAATTATGGCAGCTTGCATTCTCAGGTTCTTAACTTGGAAAAAGCCGCTGTGGTTTCAGGCACAGCCTAATGAGGTTTTCAGAGCTGTGTCTTATTTCCTTTAGTGCATAGAGGTTATTGTGTTTTGCAGGAAAATTAACTAGCAATTAAATTTCTGAAAAAGTGTTTGAAACTCCTACAAGCAGTGCCTCATTGTTTTGCAAGATTGGGTACACAATGTAATAATTCCATCTGCAAATTAATTTTCTCTCACTCACGGCTTCTGATGTAACTGCAATGTCATCCATTTAGTCATTCATTCATCCTTTGATTCAGTGCACATTTACTACGTACCTCATGTTGAACCTGGCACTGTGGGGAGGGCAGAGGTGGGTCTCTGCTTCCCAGGCAGCTCCCTGTCTAGAAGGAAGACAAGATTTTCTCAGAAATAATGGTCAGAGGAGGCAGACTATGATCATTCCATTAGAAGGAGATTTATAGTGATTTGGACTTCCAGATTTAGGAGGAGGGGGAGGTAACTCCTGACTTTGTCTCAGTGAAGAAAGAATAGAAAGAAAGCTGAAAGTAGCCAGGCGCAGTGGCTCACGCCTGTAATCCCAGCACTTTGGGAGGCCGAGGCAGGTGGATCATGAGGTCAAGAGATCGAGACCATCCTGGCCAACAGGGTGAAACCTGGTCTCTACTAAAAACACAAAAATTAGCTGGGCATGGTGGCACGCGCCTGTAGTCCCAGCTACTTGGGAGGCTGAGGCAGGAGAATTGTTTGAACCTGGGAGGCAGAGACTGCAGTGAGCTGAGATCGCACCACTGCACTCCAGCCTGATGACAGAGAGAGACAGAGGAAAAAAAAAAAGAAAGCTGAAAGTTGTAGTAACTAACATTGATTAGGCACCTGCAATATGTCAGACTCTGTGGCAGGTGTTTTGCATCTGGGATCTCATTCAATCCTTAGGCCAGTCCTATGAGATGGTGTTATCACCCCCATTTACAGATCAGGAAACTGAGGCTCAGACAGGTTGGATGACTTGCTTAAGATCACATACCCAGCAAGTGTTGGAGTCTGTTTTGGAACTTGCAACTGTCTGATTAAAACATTTCCCACTAAACATGCTAAATTCTTTAAGGATGACTTCTTTGCCAAGTGGTTTGTAGCCTTCCTGCTTCCCATCAGCACAAATGAAGGAGTTGGAGAAGGTCTAGAGGGGAGCTCTGCCAAGGCCAGAATGACATCAAATGTGCTCTGAAGAAGTAAGCGGCTGGGACTGCAGGAGAGATGGCTACGTGGTCACTTACTGAATATCTACTGTGTGTCTACGTAGTGCTTTCCATACGTTTTCTCATTTCATCCTCACATACACTCTTCAGGGTAGGCATTATTAGCTGCATCATTTTTGTTGTTGTTAAGGAAATGAAGACTTAGAGAAGCTAAATGATCTGTTCACAGTCACACAACTGGTAAATGATGGAGCTGTGATTCATGCTCAGGTCTGTCTGACTCTGAAGTCTGACTCCTTTTCTTTTCTTTACCTATTCTTTTTCTTTTCTTTTCCTTTTCTTCTTTTCTTTCGTTTTCTCTTTTTTTTTTTTTTTTGAGATGGAGTTTTGCTCTTGTTGCCCAGGCTGGAGTGCAATGGTGTGGTCTTGGCTCACTGCAACCTCTGCCTCCCTGGTTCAAGCAATTCTCCTGCCTCAGCCTCCCAAGTAGCTGGGGTTACAGGCATATGCCACCATGCCTGGCTAATTTTTGTATTTTTAGTAGAGATGGGGTTTCACCATGTTGGCCAGGCTGGTCTCGAACTCCTGACCTCAGGTGATCCACCTGCCTTGTCTTCCCAAAGTGCTGGGATTACAGGTGTGAGCCACTGCGCTTGGGTCTGACACTTTTCTTTTTTTTTTTTTTTTAATTTTTATTTTTTTTATTGATCATTCTTGGGTGTTTCTCGCAGAGGGGGATTTGGCAGGGTCACGGGACAATAGTGGAGGGAAGGTCGGCAGATAAACAAGTGAACAAAGGTCTCTGGTTTTCCTAGGCAGAGGACCCTGCGGCCTTCCGCAGTGTTTGTGTCCCTGGGTACTTGAGATTAGGGAGTGGCGATGACTCTTAACGAGCATGCTGCCTTCAAGCATCTGTTTAACAAAGCACATCTTGCACCGCCCTTAATCCATTTAACCCTGAGTGGACACAGCACATGTTTGAGAGAGCACAGGGTTGGGGGTAAGGTCATAGATCAACAGGATCCCAAGGCAGAAGAATTTTTCTTACTACAGAACAAAATGAAAAGTCTCCCATGTCTACTTCTTTCTACACAGACACAGCAACCATCCGATTTCTCAATCTTTTCCCCACCTTTCCCCCCTTTCTATTCCACAAAACCGCCATTGTCATCCCGGCCCATTCTCAATGAGCTGTTGGGCACACCTCCCAGACGGGGTGGTGGCCGGGCGGAGACGCTCCTCACTTCTCAGACGGGGTCGCGGCCGGGCAAAGGGGCTCCTCACGTCCCAGACGATGGGCGGCCAGGCGGAGACGCTCCTCACCTCCCAGACGGGGTGGCGGCCGGGCAGAGGCTGCAATCTCGGCACTTTGGGAGGCCAAGGCAGGCTGCTGGGAGGTGGAGGTTGTAGCGAGCCGAGATCACGCCACTGCACTCCAGCCTGGGCGCCATTGAGCACTGAGTGAACCAGACTCCGTCTGCAATCCCGGCACCTCGGGAGGCCGAGGCTGGCGGATCACTCGCGGTTAGGAACTGGAGACCGGCCCGGCCAACACAGCGAAACCCCGTCTCCACCAAAAAAATACGAAAACCAGTCAGGTGTGGCGGCGCACGCCTGCAATCGCAGGCACTCGGCAGGGTGAGGCAGGAGAATCAGGCAGGGAGGTTGCAGTGAGCCGAGATGGCAGCAGCACAGTCCAGCTTCGGCTCGGCATGAGAGGGAGACCGTGGAAAGAGAGGGAGAGGGAGAGGGAGAGGGAGAGGGAGAGGGAGAGGGGAGAGGGGAGAAGGGAGAGGGGAGAGGGGAGAGGGGAGAGGGGAGAGGGGAGAGGGGAGAGGGGAGAGGGAGAGCGGCCCTGACACTTTTCATCTTACTTAGCTGCTTCTTCTGTGGTGTGGTGTATTCCCAGGCTTGGGGCATGGTGGACCGTTACACGGTGCACATTGTAGGTTGTTCCTAGGAGTTTCTGAGATTAGGCATCAGGAAGAAGGGATGACTTGTCCTGAGGCTCAAGCCCTAATTCTAGCTCCTGTCCCCAGCTGGATCCTTTGCCAGAGCCAATCATCTCATCCACCACTTCTTAAGAGGCCTCATCTATCCTATGGCAATTACTAACACCTGGTTGTAGATGACATGCTAATCCTACCCGGGCCCTTCCCCTGAGCTGCAGACCTTTACCTGTTCACCTTCCGGACAGCTCTTTCCAGATGACCCTGGGAATGTGAACCCAGCACAGCCAGATGAAATCATCACCTTCTCCTGCCTGCCCTTCCTAATGGTCCCCATTTGAGTGAATGGCACCCTCTGAAAGCCTTTCTTTTCAAATCCTTTCCTCTCTCAAGCATATAAATAACAACTTGGTGACTGCATCCTGTCTTTCCTTCTGATGGTTCCCTTGCTCCACCCCCACACCACTGCCTTGGTTCAGGCCTCGTGCCTCCTCCCAGATGGTTACCTGCCTTTAGTGTTGCTCTGCCCAGCTCCATACTATAGCTGGAGTGGTGGTTGCAGAGGACACAGGCTCTGAACCTGTGATGTGCTGTCACCCATGGCAAGTCCCTTAACCTTTCTGTGTCTCCTCCTCCCTGTAAGTGAAATGAAGATAACAGAACCTTCCTGGTAGGGTTTGTGTGAATTATATGATGTGATATAGCATGTGGATAAAGCATGTGGAAATGGATTTGGTTCATAATAGACACTCAATAACTATTAGCCAATGCAAGCAGACCAGAACAGATGATGCCTATTCTGCTCAAAGTCTTCTGGTGGCTCCCCATTGCCTCTGGAATTGAATCCAGGCTCCTTATAGGCCTTTGAATTTGGCTCCGACCATCTCTCTAGCATCATATCCTGATATCCTGGAGCTTATCCCTTACCCCATCTCTACCTCTTGTCTTACCCCAATATTTTTTCTACTTTATTTTTGTGTGTATTTATGGTGTATGACATGATGTTTTGAAATATCTATAAATTGCGGCATTTCCCTACTTTTATTTCCATCCATATGGATAGAAACTTGGGTTTCCAGGATGCAGCACAAGGAGCGGGGATCCAATGTCTTAGTTCAATCTGCTATAACAGAATACTATAGACTGGGTGGCTTGAACAATAGGAATTTATTTCTTATAGGTTTGAAGTCTGTAAGGCTGAGACCAGGGTGCCAGCATGGTTGGGTTCTGATGAGGGCCCTCTTCCTGGTTTACATGTGGCTGAGTTCTCATGGTGTCCTCACATGGTAGATAGAGAGCACAGAGAGGAAGCAAGCCCTCTTACATCTCTCCTTATGTGGGCACTAATCCCATCATGGGGGCTCTACCCTCAACACCTAAACACTTCCCAAAGGACCCATCCCCAAATATCATCACATTGGTTTCAACATATGAATTTTGGGGAATACAAACATTCCGTTCATAGCACCAAGGCTAAGCCCAGGAGAGTTCTTGAACTGAGGAGATGGACTGAGTCTGGGAGAGCAGGGCAGATAGAATACTGGAGAGGAGACAGCTGCACAGAGAGAACTCTGGAGAGCTTCAGAGGGCCCCACTCAAGAACTCAGTGCAGAACTCATCAGGGCCTGCATGTGAGAAAATTACTTGGGGCCAGGGAAAGTCCATTCAAAAAGGTTAGAGGTAACAGTGCCTAGTGTTCACACAGGGCTGAGAACACACTCTAGCTGTTTCTACCAGAAAGATTTGAAACCTCATGGTTCTTAAGGCATGGAGTATGGAACTAAGATAGGTCTTGCCTCACTAGTGGAAATAATGAGCACAGAACCTGCCTAACAAATTTTAAAAGCAAAAGCAGAAAGGATTTTAAAAGCAAAAGCAGAAAGGATCTCTGTTTCCAAGTAACTTAACTGCATTACAGAAACATAGTTTAAGAATATGTATAGGAATACAAAAATATCCAGCACCCCAAAAGGTAGATCTATAAAATCTGGCATCCAATAAGAAGTTATCAGGCATGCCAAGAATCAGAAATATGTTATCCACAATGAGGAGAAAAATTAATCATTTGACATCAATCCAGAACAGCAACAAATATTAGAATGGGCAGATTAAGACATTTAACTTGTTATTTTAACTGTATTCCATATGATAATAAGTAGAGATATGGGAGATACTTAAAAAGGCCAAAGTCAAACTTTTAGAGATTAAAACTATAATGGTTGAAGTGAAAAATACATTGGATGGGATTAATGGCAGATTAAACATTGTAGAATACAAAATTATTGAACTTGAAGACATAGTAATAGAAACTATAAAAATGAACACACAGAAGAAAAAATAGAAAGAAATGAATATAGCATTAGTGAACTATGGGACAATTTCAGGTGGCTTTATATACATGTAATTGGAGTCACCAGAAGAAAAGACAGGCAGAGTAGTGGGTGGGGCAGAAAAATATTTTAAGGAATAATGGTCACAAAATGTCCAAATTTGATTAAGACTATAAACTCACATCCAAGAACCTCAATAAATCCCAAGAACAAGAAACATAAAGAACACCACACCAAGGTACATGACAATCGAATTGCTAAAAATCAATGATAAAGAGAGAATCTTAAAAGCAACTACAGAGAAAGATGTTACTATACAGAGAACAAAGTTAAGGATGGCAGTAGACTTGCCAGAAACAGTGCAAACAAGGGGACAATAGAGAAACATCATTAAAATACTGAAAGATGAATACTGTCTACTAGAATTCTATACTTAACAGACATGTCTTTCAAAATCAAAGGTTAAAAAAATTCATTGCCAACAGACCCATATGCTAAGAAATGTTAGAAGAAGTCTTCTGGACAGAAGGAAAATGATATCAAGTGAAAATCAGTATCTACACGAAAGAATAAAGAGCACTAGAAATAGTAACTACATATGTAAATATATGACATTTTCTTATCACTTAAACCTTAAAGATAATGTTTGTGTAATTAAAAATAATAACAATGTACTGCAGGGTTTGTAACATATACAAAAGGAAAATGTATAATAACATGAACACAAAAGTTGGGTGGGGATAAATGGAACTACGCTATCGTAAGTTTCCCATACCATACTTAAAATGGCATCATATCACTTGTAAGTGGACTATAACAGGTTAAATATATATATACATATATAAAAAATAAACTAATGAAATGATTAACAAAACAAAAAGTGATGGTTTATAAACCAACAAAGGAGATAAAATCATAAAACATACTTGCTTAAACCAAATGAAGGCAGAAAAAGAGCAAAAAATAAAAAAATGGGACAAATGGAAAACAAATAGTAAGATGACAGATTTAAACTTGGCCATAGTAATAATCACATTAAATGTAAATGGTCTAAACACCCCAATTTAAAACATTTCAGACTGAATAAAAAACATGGCCTAATTACACACTGTCCACAAAAAACACACCTTAAAAATAAAATACACAAGTAGATTAAAAATAAAAGGATGGAAAAAGATATAGCATGCTAACATTAATTAAATGAAAACTTATGTGTCTATATTAAATTTCAGAGCCAAAAAAATTATGAGGGGTAAAGAAGATGATTTTGTAATGGGAAAAGGATCAATTCATCAAGAGAACATAATAATCCTAAAATTTTATGAATCTAATAAGAGTCTTAAAATACTTGAAGCAAAAACTGAGGTAATTTCATGGAAAAAATAGACAAATCCACAATCTTAGATGTTTCAATTCTCACTTCTCAATAACTGATAGAAAAATTAAGAAAATCAATAAAGATACAGAAGTTTTGAACACCATGAGCCAATTTCACTAAATTCACATTTAGTGAATTACTTTTGTGAGTGCAAAAGTAATTGTGGTTTTTGCATTGTTGGAATTTGCTCTTTGATATTGGAATACATTCTTAAATAAATGTGTTATGTTATACATCACTTTAATGGGCATTTCTCATTTTTTTTTCTAATGACTTATTACTTGCTGTTTATTCTGTTTATTTTATGTTTATTTTAGACTATGGAAATGATGTTAGACAAAAAGCAAATTCAAGCGATTTTCTTATTTGACTTCAAAATGGGTCGTAAAGCAGGGGAGACAACTCGCAACATCAATAATACATTTGGCCCAGGAACTGCTAACAAACGGGCAGTGCAGTGGTGGATCAAGAAGTTTTGCAAAGGAGACAAGAGCCTTGAAGATGAGGAGTGTAGTGGCTTGCCATCGGAAGTTGACAATGACCAATTGAGAGCAATCATCAAAGCTGATCCTCTTACAACTACACAAGAAGTTGCCAAAGAACTCAATGTCGACCGTTCTATGGTCGTTTGGCATTTGAAGCAAATTGGAAAGGTGAAAAAGCTCGATAAGCTCATGAACTGAGCAAAAATAAAAAAAAAATCATTTTCAACTATCATCTTCTCTTATTCTATGCAATAACAATGAACCATTTCTCGATCGGATTGTGATGTGTGATTAAAAGTGGATTTTACATGACAACCGGCAATAACCAGCTCAGTGGTTGGACTGAGAAGAAGCTCCAAAGCACTTCCAAAAGCCAAACTTGCACCAAAAAAGTCATGGTCACTGTTTGGTGGTCTGCTGCCAGTCTGATCCACAACAGCTTTCCGAATCCCAGCAAAACCATTACATCTGAGAAGAATGCTCAGCGAATCGGTGAGATGCACTAAAAACGGCAATACCTACAGCCAACATTTGTCAGCAGAAAGGGCCCAACTCTTCTCCATGACAACATCCGACCACTTGTTACACAAACAACACTTCAAAAGTTGAATAAATTGGGCTACAGAGTTTTGCCTCACCTGCCATATTCACCTGACCTCTTGCCAATTGATTACCACTTTTTCAAGCATCTCGACAATTTTTTGCAGGGAAAAGGCTTCCACAACCAGCAGGATGCAGAAAATGCTTTCCGTGAGTTCGTTTCAATCCTGAAGCAAGGATTTTTTACGCTACAGGAATAAACAAACTTATTTCTCATTGACAAAAATGTGTTGCTTGTAATGGTTCCTATTTTGACTAACAAAGATATGTTTCATGTGGCTTTCATACCAGGGATGCAGGGATGGTTTAACATCTGTGATGGTTAATATTGAGTGTCAACTTGATTGGATTGAAGGATGCAAAGTATTGTTCCTGGGTGCGCCCTGAGGGTGTTGCCAAAGGAGATTAACATCTGAGTCAGTGGACTGGGAGAGGCAGACTTACCCTCAATTTGGGTGAGCATCATCTAATCAGATGCCAGTGCAGCTAGGATAAAAACAGGCAGAGGAATATGGAAGGACTAGACTGGCTGAGTCTTCTGGCCTACATCTTTCTCCCACGCTGGATGCTTCCTGCCCACTAATATCAGACTCCAAGTTCTTCAGCTTTGGGACTCTTGGACCTTCAATCACAGACTGAAGGCTACACTGTTAGTTTCCCTACTTTTGAGGTTTTGGGACTCGAACTAGCTTCCTTGCTCCTCACCTTGCAGACGGCCTATTGTGGGACCTTACCTTGTGATTGTGTGAGCCAATCAATACTCCTTAATAAACTCCCCTTTATATATACATCTATCCTACTTTTCTGCTCCTCTAGAGAACCCCGACTGATACAACACCCACAAGTCAATAAATGTGATACACCACATAAACAGAATTAAAAACAAAAAAATCACATGATCATCTCAATAGATGCAGAAAAAATATTTGACAAAATCTAGCACCACTTTATGATTGAAACCCTTGGCAAATTCAGCATAGAAGAGACATACCTTAAGGTAATAAGAGCCATCTATGACAAACTCACGGCTAAATGAGGAACATTATACTAAATGAGGAAAAGTTGAAAGCACTCCCCCGAGAACTGGAAGAAGACAAGGATGTTCACTTTTTCCACTTCCATTCAACATAGTAATGGAAGTCCTAGCCACAGCAATCAGAGAGGAGAGAAAAATAAAAGACATCCAAATTGATAAAGAGGAAGTCAAACTGTTGCTGTTTGCTGATGATATGATCGTATACCTGGAAAAACTCTAAAGACTCATCAAAAAGCTCCTAGAACTAGTAAATGAATTCAGCAAAGTTTCAGGTTACAAAATTAATGTACACAAATCAGGAACTCTGCTATATTCCAACTGTGACCAAGCCGAGAATCAAATCAAGAACTCAACCCCTTTCACAATAGTTACAAAAAATAATACTTAGGAATATACTTAACCAAGGACATGAAAGACTTCTACAAGACAAACCACAAAACATTGCTGAAAGAAATCATAGATGACACAAACAAATGGAAACACATCTCATGCTCATGGATGGGTAGAATCAATATTGTGAAAATGACCGTACTGCCAAAAGCAATCTACAAATTCCATGCAGTTCCCATCAAAATACCATCATCATTCTTCACAGAATTAGAAAAAAACAATCCTAATATTCATATGGAACCAAAAAAGAGCCCACATAACCAAAGCAAGACTAAGCAAAAAGAACAAATCTGGAGGCGTCACATTACCCGACTTCAAACTATACTATAAGGCCATAGTCACCAAAACAGCATGGTACTATTATAAAAATAGGCACATAGACTAATGGAACAGAATACAGAACCCAGAAAAAAAGCCAAATGATCTTTGACAAAGCAAACAAAAACATAAAGTGGGGAAAGGACACCTTATGCAACAAATGGTGCTGGGATAATTGGCAAGCCACATGTAGAAGAATGAAATTGGATCCTCATCTCTCATCTTATACAAAAATCAACTCGAGATGGATTAAGGGCTTAAATCTAAGACCTGAAACCATAAAGATTTTAGAAGATAGTATCAGGAAAACTCTTCTAGACATTGGCTTAGGCAAAGACTTCATGACCAATAACCCAAAAGCAAATGTGACAAAAACAAAGATAAATAGATGGGGCTTAATTAAATTAAAAAGCTTCTTCACAGCAAAAGGAATAATCAGCAGAGTCAACAGACAACCCACAGAGTGGGAGAAAATCTCCACAATCTATACATCAGGCAAAGGACTAATATTCAGAATCTACAATGAACTCAAACAAATCAGCAAGAAAAAAAAAACAAACAATTGCATCAAAAAGTGGGCTAAGGACATGAATAGACAATTCTCAAAAGAAGATAAACAAATGGCCCCAACAAGCATATGGAAAAATGCTCAGCATCACTAATTATAATGGAAGTGCAAGTCAAAACCACAATGTGATATCACCTTACCCCTGCAAGAATGGCCATAATAAAAAAAATCAAAGTAATGGATGTTGGCATGGATGCAGTGAAAAGGGAACACTTTTACACTGTTGGTGGGAATGTAAACTAGTACAGCCACTATGAAAAACTGTTTGGAGATTCCTTAAAGAACTAAAAGTAGATCCACCATTTGATCCAGCCATCCCACTACTGGGTATCTACCCAGAGGGAAAGAAGTCATTATACCAAAAAGAAACTTGTACACACATGTTTATAGCAGCAAAATTCGCAATTGCAAAAATGTGGAACCAACTCAAATGCCCATCAGTCAACAAGTGGATAAAGAAACTGTGGTATATACATACAATGGAATACTACTTAGCCATAAAAAGGAATGAATTAATGGCATTCACAGCAACCTGGGTGGAATTGGAGACTATTATTTTAAGTGAAGTAACTCAGGAATGGAAAACCAAACATTGTATGTTCTCACTTATATGTGGGAGCTAAGCTATGAGGACACAAAGGCGTAAGAATGATACATTGGACTTTGGGGACTCAGGGGAAAGGGTCGGGGGTGGTGAGGGATAAAAGACTGCACATTGGGTACAGTGTACACTGCTTGGGTGATGGATGCACCAAAATCTCAGAAATCACCACTAAAGAGCTTATTAATGTAACCAAACACCACCGGTTCCCCCCCTCCAAAACCTATTGAATTAAAAAATTAAAAGTAAAAAAAACGTGTTTGAACCTAGTTATAATGATTTAAAATTCATGGGCCAAAACTGCAATTACTTTTGCACCAACCTAGTGCAACTCCACCCAGTGAGAGCAGAATATACATTCTCTTCAAACACACCATGAGGTCTTCCTGCAACCTTCCCTGATCCAACATGGCTTCGTGGCTGTGCAGCATCTCTGCAGTGTCACAGTGGCTACTGGAAGGCCCAGGCCTGTGCTGGGGATGTTGCAGCTGCGGCTGTGCTGCATTTCTATCCCAAGGACAACGAAGGCTACTGGTTCTGCTCCCTCTTTGTTCACAAAGTGGATCCCTGGAAGGATGCCCACTCTGCCCTGCTGTCCAAGAAGGAGACCAGCAACCTCTACAAGATCCAGTTTCACAGTGAGAAGCCTGAGTGCCCGGATGCCTATAGTAGGCACTGATGGAGGCAGCACTGTCCATACTGCACTAGGATGAGGACTACCCTGCTCCCTCATGGGCAAGTGGAACACGTGCTGTAGGGAGCAGGACCAGGCACTGCACCTGTGGAGGTTCTCAGGTGGCTACTCAGCCCTCGCGGACTGCATGACAAGGAGTACCTGGAGGTCCGGAAGGAGTGCAGCTGGATGCTGTTGTCCAGGAGACACCAATTGCTCCTTGAGTTCAGCTTCTGGAATGAGCCATAGCCCAGCGTGGACCCCAACATCTTATGAGCTGAGGACATGCAAGCTGAAGCCAGGAACCATGATGGAGTAGGGGAACAATTGGGGTCCTGCCAGCAGGTACCAGCAGCAAGTCCCAGCAGGAGAACCAGGAGGTGATCGTGGCTCCTCCCAAATAGGAGAGCTCCACCTTGTGCATCATCTCTGGTCCTATAAAGACCCACAGTCTTGGGAGGAGACCCGAAGTGCTGCCTGCAGGAAGAGGGCTTGGGATGAAATGTCTATTGTACAGTTCCCCTCGGGCAACACGTGGAGTCTTGGATCCTCTTGAGGATCCTCTTGAGGTCCTCTTGAAGACCTCACCTCTCCAGTCATGCTCCCAACACTTCTACCTTCTTCCCTTTCTCCCTCAGGGCAACCCTGGACAGAGGAGCACCCCAGTCCTACTGTCATGGTTTTCTCTTGGCTCTGGGAGGACTCTGAGGGTCCATGCTTAGCTCAGACAACGGGGAACTGAAGGATGACAAATTCTGAGGACTTAGAGCTCAGCTCAGCTCCTTCCTGCCTTCCCCTCCTCCCTCCTTCCCCCTGCTGGAAGTAGTTCCTAATTTCTCTGAATGAAACATAGCAATCTTCTAGGTCTGCTGACATCTTTTCCTAAGATTTCTCAGTCCCCAGCTATCACCACAGAAATCCTCGGTTTAGCTTAATTGCACAAAAGGAAGTATGTCCAGTGGTTAGAGGTGGGATGGGAGGGAAGGAGGTCAGGTCAGGCCAAGCCAGGTCCTCAGGAATTCCCTGATCTCCACTGAGCCACTGCCACCCACTTGCTGTTTAGTCTAAACCAAGTCCCTCCTGATGGGGAAAATCCTGGAACTGCTAAAAAAAACCCCTCAAATCGGCAAGGTCAGGAGGATGTCCAGACATTCCATCCAAAAAGACAGGGAAAAAGGATGGGACCCAGGAAGGATTTAGGGGCAGGAGACAGACATGTAACAGAATCCAGAAGGTACAACTTAGAATTCAGAACTTGAGTTTGAACTGCAGAATTTGGAATTTGGAATACAGAATTGGAAGATAGAACAGAGGTGACAGGCTGGGCGCGGTGGCTCATGCCTGTAATCTCAGCACTTTGGGAGGCTGAGGTGGGCAGATCATGAGGTCAGAAGTTCAAGACAAGCCTGGCCAACATAGTGAAACACTGGCTTTACTAAAAATACAAAAATTAGCCTGGCATGGTGGCATGTGCCTGTAATCCCAGCTACTCAGGAGGCTGAGCCAGGAGAATTGCTTGAACCCGGGAGGCGGAGGCTGTGGTGAGCCGAGATCTTGCAGTGAGCCGAGATCATGGCACTGGACTCCAGCTTGGGTGACAGAGCGAGACTTGGTCTCAAAAAAAAAAAAAAAAAAAAAAAAAGAAACAGTTGGAATAGAAGAAGTCTGGGGCATATCATTTAGATGCTAAAAAAAAAAAAAAAACAACATTTCCAGGACATTTTAAAGGTATTTGGAATCAGGGCTGTTGCTCCCGGTGGAGTAGGTTCCCAGGGAGACTGGGACACAGAAAAGAAGGGACTTGGAGTCCCGTCTGCTGGGCACTCAGCTCAAAGCTCACACCCCTGACGGACTCTGCTTGACGTTTACATGTTACCCTTCTCAAACGGGGCTTCTGTGCCTCCTGGAAATTTAGGTAAGCTTGGTTCAACCCTCCCAAGTTACAGCCTGCGAAAGCTGAGGGTCTTCCTCATGATCCTGGACAATTCCTGATGGCCTAATTCTTCAGTCTGTTCTTTTCGGCATTAGAGGGTGCAGCCTCCTGCCATCTTGGATAAAAAACCCAGTCTGCAGTGGTTTCACTAAGGGTGCTCCCAACAGATGATTCATGGGTGTGGGGGACTTGCTCAAGATTTGAGGGGTCTCGCCAGGCTCCCCAGAATCTTCATCCATTTCACTGTTCCTCTTCCCCTTCCTCTCTCTTTTCCTCTCTTTTTCAGGGTCACCAGCCCTCTTCCCACCATCTAAAGCTCATATGAGCTTACTGTGTGGACCCACTCAGAAGCCCAGAGTTGGAATAAAGATTATTTTAAACTGAAGACATTTGAGGTTCAACAGACGCAGAGAAAAGCCTCCTCAGAGCTTCCCTTATCTGACTAAAAGCAGCAACTTCTGGTAAATGAAGCTACCATAGATCCCTTCTCCGGGGGAGTTTCATGGCCCTGAGGAAGATGGAAAGACCACCTTTATTTGTATGGAAAGACATCACCACACTCTTCAAAAAATGTCCTGTTATCCTGAAAAAAATGTATTTCCTAAAGAAGCCCATCTGTATTTCCCATAGGAGCCTTTTCTCCCTCCTCCCTTTCCCCTACTAGGTTAGGTATTTAAGCCCCAAATTCTAATCACGACTTTGAGTTACTCATCACTGAACACTCAGGCTTGCGTAAGTAAACTCTTCTCTTCTCTTGCGAATGTGTCTTTTGTCAGTTTAATTTACAGAGCTCCAATCACCAAACCTAAAAAGATAGAGAAAAAGTTTACCTCTCCTATATTATTTATCTTCTGCCTCCTCCTCTAAAGTCTCAGCTTCTAACCCAGGTAAGATTATCTAGGAATCGTCCCCAGAAAGGCGTGTTTCCTAAGCCTACCGGTAATTATGAGAGAAGAAAAATTTTCCTTCTAGCTGCACAGGTATTACATGGATGGGGTCAGGATAAACCCACATTACTCAAAGAAATATTTGCATTTTTAGGCCAACCACTATCCACAGAATCTCTGGGCTTAACTATTCCTTAGGGAGAGCACAAGAAGGAAATTGCAAAGCTTTTGTCAAAATATTTGGCCACCAAAAAATTCCTGCTTGCTTCACAGAGACAGATGCGTGAATGCCACAGCACTATCTGTTCTGTGTTTTATGATCCTCCCCAAAATAACAGTCTCTGTTGGATTTGCGCTGGTGATTTGAGAATAAGAAACTTTAAAAACAACTAGACAACCAGTTCAAGAGAGCAGATAATGTATATTCAGCAGCCTCCCCCTCCTGCCCTAACTTCTGAGAGTGACAGAAATAATTATTGTAACAAGTTCTCATTACCATGCTGGGAAGGAAGGAGAGAGGCAGTTGATGGACAGTAATTATAAGAAGCTCCTTAGATGAAGCAAGGAAACTGCAGTCAAAAATCATCTGTAGGAGAGGAAGGATGCAAAAGATGGGCAAGGGGGCAAGGGCATGGCAGGCCTGGAGATTGTGATGCCAGGATGAGATGGGACCCTGATGCTCCTGATCGAGCCACAGATGGGAGATGCCGCCCCTTTATCAGGTAGCAAACAACGAAATGTCTTGTTTTAAGAAGTAGCAAGTTCGGGCACGGTGGCTCACGCCTGTAATCCTAGCACTTTGGGAGGCCGAGGTGGGCAGATCACGAGGTCAGGAGATCGAGACCATCCTGGCTAACACGGCGAAACCCTGTCTTTAGTAGAAATCCAAAAAAGTTAGCCAGGCATGGTGGCAGGTGCCTGCAGTCCCAGCTACTCAGGAGGCTGAGGCAGGTGAATCACTTGAACCTGGGAGGTGGAGGTTGCAGTGAGCCAAGATCGCACCACTGCACTCCAGCCTGGGTGACAGAGCAAGGCTCTGTCTCAAAAAAAAAAAAAAAAAAAAAAAAAAAGAGGGAGCAATAAGTGTGGTTTTTTGGGTCAGAGAGGCAGACTAGGATCTGGGGTGGCTGACAACTCCCAGCAAAACCAGACAGCCCATGTGCCCAGAAGGTTAGTTAATGCCCCTCTCTCCTACATGTCTCACATCTCTGCCATAATCAAGAGAGAGGCTGAGGTATCTGCCTGGGTAGCACATTCAACCCCTTCCTATATTCAGGCTAGTGTACATCAGTGTAACTTCTCCAGCCTGGCGCACAGAGACTTTTACAAACAAAGATGAGCTTACAAACAACGATGAGCATACACCCAGAAGCCAACAACACTTGAGGGAAGCCAGCACCGTGAAAGGGACATCAAAGTCAACACATGAACTTATATCTGAGAACAAAATTAAAAACGCAAGTGGAGCAGGGCCTTGAGTACATGTAGTTATTATCCCTAGAAAGAGATGAGAAGGGAATAGTATGTAGCTATAAAAAGAATGAGTTCATGTTCTTTGCAGGGACATGGATAAAGCTGGAACCCATCATTCTCAGCAAACTAACAGAGGAACAGAAAACCAAACACTGCGTGTTCTCACTCATAAGTGGGAGTTGAACAACGAGAACACATTGGACACAGGGAGGGAAATATCACACACCAGGGCCTGTTGGTGGGTGGGGGGCAAGGGGAGGGAGAGCATTAGGTCAAATACCTAATGCATGCAGGGCTTAAAACCTAGGTGACGGGTTGTTAGGTGCGGCAAACCACCATAGCACAGTATAGCTATGTAACAAACCTGCATGTTCTGCCCAAGTATCCCAGAACTTAAAGTGAAAGGAAAAAAAAAAAAAAGAAGGAGATGAGAAGAGATTGCCCTAAGAATCAGTCTGCTACCCCCACGTTCATATCAGCATTATCCTCAATAGCAAAAAGGCAGAAGCAGCCCAAGTGTCCATTGATGGATGAGTGGATAAACCAAAATGCCATCTTCATCCAGGAGAATGTTACCAGAGAATGTTCAGCCTTAAAAAGGAAGAAAATCCTATCACATGGAGGAACCTGAAGAAGACATTATGCTATGTGAAATACGTCAGTCACAAAAGGACACATACTCTATGATTCTGTTCATGTAAGTGACCTAGAGTGGTCAAATTGATAGAAAGTTGAAAGGTGATTTCTAGAGCCCAGGGGGAGGGGAAAATGGAGAGTTGGTGTTTAATGAAAACAGTTTCAGTTTGAAAGGATGAAAAAGTTCTGGAGATGGATGGTGATGATGGTTGCAACCATGTGAACATACTCAATGCTACTGAACTGTACTTTTAAAATAATTAAGGTGGTGATTTTGTGTTATGTGTGTTTTATCATAATTAAAAAAATCAACTTGATATCTTGGAAATAAAAAATCACGATTGAAACTGACAAAATAGAAAGTTGAGCAGATTGGCCTCAGCTGAAGTGTAAATTAGTAACTTAGAAGACTGAACTGAGAACTTTAGAATGCAACACTGAACCAACCAAGAGAAACATAGGAAAAAAGACTGATGCACGTAGCATAAATTTAGAATTTCTAACATTCCTATAATAAAAACGTCAGAAGGATTCTAAAGGATTATTAGTATTACTTAGGAATAATAGGATGCAAAAAATGGTGGCTTAACAAGATAGAGATTACTTATCGACCAAAGAAAAGTACAGAGGAAAGGAGAGCTGGTGTATGGCTCTACAAGTATCATTGAGGACCCTGATTCCTGTCTTCCTGCTTTGCCAGCCCAGCACATGGGCTCTTGAAGCTCACCTAATGGCTGCAGGCAGGGAAAAAGAGAAAAGCCAGACCTGCCCAGTTAACTCAACTCCCTTTAAGCAGGCTTCCCAGAATTCTGCAAAACACTTTTGCTTAGATCTCATTGTCTAGAATTTAAACACGTGGCCACAGTTAGCTTCGAAGTAGACATTCTTCATGGCAATGTGTCCTGCTAAAATCAGTATTCTGTTTCTAAGAAGAAAGGAGAGAATAGCTATTGGGGAAGCCAGTGGTAGTAGCTATCCACTCCCCGCACCCCAAATACAGAGAATGAAGAGTGGGGACAAATGCAAAATAAGGATAGAAGTAAAAAAATCCCAGAATAGGAGAAAAATATGAGTTCTCAGACTGAAAAGCTCCACTGAGTACCAAAATGGGATGAATGCAAGACCATTGGACACATTGTAGTGAAATTTCACAATACCAAGGATCAAGAAAAATCCTAAAGACTTCCAAAGAGTAAAAAACAACCAACAATTCTCTATAAAGAAAAGAGAATCAGCCGGGCGCGGTGGCTCATGCCTGTAATCCCAGCACTTTGGGAGGCCGAGGCAGGCAGATCACTTGAGGTCAGAAGTTCGAGACCAGCCTGGCCAACATGGTGAAACCCCGTCTCTACTAAAAATACAAAAATTAACTGGGCATGGTGGTACATGCCTGTAATCCCAGCTACTTGGGAGGCTGAGGCAGGAAAATTGCTTGAATCCAGGAGGTGGAGGTTGCAGTGAGCCGAGATTGTGCCACTGCACTCTAGCCTGGGCGACAGAGTGAGACTCCGTCTCAAAAAAAAAAAAAAAAGAGAAAAGAGAATCAGACTGAGAAGATGTCTATCTTTTTATTATCAACAAGGGTTGCAAGGCAGAGAAGCAGTTTCTTCAAAGCTAAGAATGAATAAATCATTTGAACTTAGATTCTGTATTTAAGAACCTAGTATCCTTCTATTCAAGAGTAAAGGTGAAAAAATATTTAAAAATATACAAGGAACTGTATCACTGAAAGATTTACCGGAGTATGTCATCCAGGTTTTAGGATTGTCAAAACTGAGGGTGACTTCCTTCTCTGGGATAAGCTTGTTTTAATTCTTAAACAACAAAAATAGATGAAAGCTTTGGAAAACCAAGAGATAGAAATCAATCATTTGAGTTGTTGATTTTCTTTTTATTGAAGTTTCTTTTTCTTTTTCTTTTATTTAGGTTTCTTTTTTTTTTCTTCTTAATGAGAGTTCATTACATATTCTTGATAAACATCCTTCACTGGACACATGATTTACATATATTTTCTTTCAGTCTGTGGCTTGTCTTTACATGCTTTTTCAGTGTCTTTCAAAGAGTAGACATTTTTAGGTTTCATTAAATCCAATTTTTTTTTTCTTTTTCTTTTTTTTTTTGAGACGGAGTCTCGCTCTGTCGCCCAGGCTGGAGTGCAGTGGCGCGATCTCCGCTCACTGCAAGCTCCGCCTCCCGGGCTCACGCCATTCTCTTGCCTCAGCCTCCGGGGTAGCTGGGACTACAGGCTCCCACCACCACGCCCGGAGAATTTTTTTTTTTTTTTTTTGTATTTTTAGTGGAGACGGGGTTTCACCGTGTTAGCCAGGATGGTCTCCATCTCCTGACCTCGTGATCCACCCGCCTCAGCCTCCCAAAGTCCTGGGATTACAGGCGTGAGCCACCGCACCCAGCCATTAGATCCAATTTAACAATTTTTTCTTGTATAGGTTGTACTTTTGGGTTGTAGCTAAGAAATCTTCGCCTAACTCAACGATTTTCTCCTATTTCCTCTGTAAGTTTCACAGTTTCAGGTTTCATATTTATGTCTATGCTCCATTTTGAGTAAATTTGCATACATGGTGCAAGGTATGAATTGAAGTTTGCTATTTTTGCATATGGATATCCAATTGCTCCAGCACCATTTGCAGGAAAAATGATCCTTTCTCTAATATTAAGTAATAATCAGCTATCGCCACATTGTTTATCACCTTCGATGGTGAGATTTCTTTTGTCCCCAAACAAATATCCGAGAGGGTCCCAAGATGAAGACAGCTCATAGCCAAGTTTGCTGGGCAAGACTCAGTGTGGGTTCATAATGGGGAGTAGATCTCATCCTCCTTTTATGCTCCCTGGGGGACACACGATGGAAGTGATGATCTTATCACAGTTGTTCCTTTTCTCACCTGAGCATGGAGGGGCCAGTTCTGTGTATTCACTAACAGAGTCACTGAACAGCCAACAAGCATACTCTCTGGGCCCAGGCACAGATTCCTTATAAGAATTTTATAGATATTATGTTTCCTTCTCTTCTTGCTTTTATTTTCCTCTTCTTTTTTGCTTTTTGGCTTCTTGCTTTTTTTTCTTGATGGAATTTTCAGAACCTTGCAATGCTTTAAGTAACAATAGGTATAATTTATTAATTATGTCTTTTCCCAGGGAAATTGTCACAATGCTCACAAGTCCTCTGGGTTTTTAAAAATCAGGATTCCTCAATCATCTCCCAGAACTTGCAGAAAGAATCCAAGCGAAAGTCATTGAACTGTGAGAAGGAACGATGAGCACAGACAACACCCAGTTAAATACATTGCTTAATCGAAGGAGGTGGGGCTGGGCGCGGTGGCTCACACCTGTAATCCCAGCATTTTGGGAGGCTGAGGTGGGTGGATCACCTGAGGTCAGGAGTTTGAGACAAGCCCAGCCAACATGGTGAAACCCCGTCTCTACTAAAAATACAAAAATTAGCCGGAAGTGGTGGCACACGCCTGTAATCCCAGCTACTCAGGAGGCTGAGGCAGGAGAATTGCTTGAGCCTGGAACATGGAGGTTGCAGTGAGCCAAGATCATGCCACTGCACTCCAGCCTGGCTGACAGAGCGAGAGTCTGTCTCAGAAAAAAAAAAAAAATTCTAAGGAGGTGGTGGTGATGAATGTGACACAAGAAGGCAGAGGGAAATAAATGGGAGTTGGTTTTGGTCTTGTTTGGGCAAAGATTATAGATACTGACTTGAGATTGGATACTGTTAGCAAAACATAACATTGGCCTGGGCAAACATAGTGAGACCCTTATCTCCACAAAAAATTAAAAAAGTAATTGGCATGGTGGCACACTCCTGTAGTCTCAGCTATTCTGGAGGCTGAGGTAGGAGGATTGCTTGAGCCCAGGAGTTTGAGGCTCCAGTGAGCTGTAAAAAGAAGAAGAAATTAAAAAAAAAAAAAAAAAACAAGTCTAAGTAGAAGTGTTAAAAAGCTAAGACTAAACATTGGGCGAATGAATACAATATGTAAATTTCAAACTTAGAAGAAAAATGAAAGCAAGTTTGAGCAAATCAAACAAAGCCAGAAAGGGAAAAACAAGAACAGTGAGAAAGTATGAAAAACACAAAATCACTTGGCTGGTGTAAGTCCAAGTAACAATAATAATGTGTTAAATTTACTTATTAAAAGACAGAGACTCTAAGCTGAGTAAAAAACCCAATATCTGGATATATGTGATTTGTACAAGAAACTCTTAAAACAAAATGACAGAGGAATGTTGAAAATAAAGGGGTGAGTCTGAGCACGGTGGCTCATGCCTGTAATCTCAGCACTTTGGGAGGCTGAGGCAAGTGGATCACGAGGTCGGGAGTTCGAGACCAGCCTGGCCAACATGGTGAAACCCTGTCTCTACTAAAAGTACAAAAAATTAGCCATGTATGGTGGTGTGCGCCTATAATACCAGCTACTCGGGAGGCTGAGGCATGAGAATCTCTTGAACCCAGGAGGCTGAGGTTGCAGTGAGCAGAGACCACACGATTGCACTCCAGCCTGGGCAACAAAGAAAAAAGTTTTCTTTTTTTTGTCTTAAAAAAAAAAAAAGAAAACAAAGGGGTGAAAAATATAAACAAATATTAACAAACAAATCTAGAATAGCAATATTAACACCAAGCAGAATGGAATTTAGGGTGAAAAGCATTATAAAGGGCAAACTGAAACACTGTTTATAGGTAAAAAGAAATAATCCATCAAGTAATGATCACAGTTGTGAACCATTGTATGCCAACAGCATAGATATGGAAATATTAAAGCAAAACCAGATAGAAATACAAGGAGAAATGCCCAAAGCTGCAACCACACATAAAGTTAAAACAGAAATGAAAGGAAAAATAGACAAAGCCTTATTCTTCACTCATAAATTGGCTCATTAAATAGATGAAAATAATTAAGAAAAAAGATAATTTGAATAAAAATGTTTGATTTTGTAGTTTTGTGCCTAAGAGAGAATATAGCTTTCAACTACATTACTTGTAATTATGTTTTAGATTAAAAATCAGCTCAAGTTGGGCCACAAAGGAAATGACAGTACGTTCTAAAAGGCAGAAACAAGCCACTTTCATATGGTGAATTCAAACAGGCTATTTTCATATGCAAAATGCAATAGAATTAGATATTCATAACAAAAACATAACTGAAAAACCTTATTACTTGAAAGGTTTAGAAAATCCCATGTGTGTTTCTAACCACTCTTGGGTTACAGAAGAAATCAAAATGTATTAAAATTAAAATCTCTTTATATATTGATTTAAAAAAACATTAGGGAGCAAACTCTGTGTTATAGATAAAATGGTATTCGGAGGAAAATCTATAACCATAAATGCTTTTATAAAAATAAAAGAGAGCTTAAAATCAAGTGTCTTTCAGCCAAGAAGTCAGACACAAGCACAAAAGAAAACTCCATTCCCTATTTAAAAAGTCTCTTCGAACTAGATAGAGTAGAAAATGTGCTGCATTTGGTAATGGGTATTTACATGAGACCTAGGAAACGTCACACTGAATGTTTTTGAGGTGCTTAGCACATATGGAACATGATGCAGATACTGCCTATTGCCTCTCCTACTCAATGCTGGGGTTGAGCTCCTGGTCCAGGGGTCCTCAAAGCAGCTTGTCTATTGGGATCATGTGGGAGTCCTAAAATAATACCAATATGCCTGCATCCCATCTCAGTGCACCTGAGTCAGAATTCCTGGGGGTGGGGCTCAGGCACTGGTATGTTACAAAGCTCTCTGGGTGATAGGTTTAAAAACAATCCTCTAGCCTATGAAATGAGACAAAGAAAATAAGTGAAAGTCATAGATACCAGAAAGAGAAAAAACTATATGGTTATGTACCTAGAATATGGCAGAGAATCAACTGGAAAATTGGAAAAATCAATGAGAGTTCAGAAGATGATAGAATACAAACTCAATATAAAAAATCAATAGATTTCCTATAGGTTATCAGTAATAAATTAGAAAAGGTAATAAAAATTCCAAATTATAATGGAAATCGCAACCACAAAATATAAAATAGAAAAAAACTAAAAGAAACACAAAAGATCTTTATCAAGGTAATTATGTTTAACAAAAGATGTCAAAAACAACCTAAATAAATGGAGAGATTATACCATCTACATAGATAGGAACACTCAACTGTAAATAAGCCAATTTACTCTAAATTATCTATAACCCCAATAAAAATGTCACCAAAATTCCTCATGGAACTTCATAGGCAAATTCCAGAATTTATACGAAGGAACAGATGTGTAAGAACAAACAAGATAAATTTGAAAAAGGACATCAGTGATGTCTAGTATCTTCTCCTTTAGACCAGCGATCCCCAACCTTTTTGGCACCAGGGACCGGTTTCGTGGAAGACAATTTTTCCACGGACGGGGGTGGGGGAGATGGTTTTCGGATGAAAGCGTTCCACCTCCGATCATCAGGCATTAGCGAGATTCTCATAAGGAGCTCACAACTTAGATCCTTCCCATACACAGTTCACAATAGGGTTTGGGCGCCTGTCAGAATGTAATGCCCAGCTGATCTGACAGGAGGTGGAGCTCAGGTGGCAACGTGCACTAGTCTGCTGCTCACCTCCAGCTGTGTGGACTGGTTTCTAACAGGCCATGGACAGGTACTGGTTTGCAGCCTGGGGGTCAGGGACCCCTGCTTTAAACACCAAAATATATGGCATTAATAATCAAACAGTGTGGTATTGGTGCAGGAAAAAAAAATAGATAAATGAACCAGAACAGGGAAACCAGCAAAAGATCATACATGGGAATTCAATATATGATAAAGGAGGCATTTGAAATTAGCAGGGGTAGGATGGATATGTCAATTTAGACTAGTGGTAGCTGAACATGACAGAAAACTCAGACCAATGGCTTAAATAAGAGGAAGCCTTATTATTGATCCTTCGCATAGAGGAGAGCTGGAGGCTACCAGCCCTTAACAAGTATGGCAGCTCCATGACCACTAGGAACCCAAGTTCCATCTATTGTCTGCCCCATCATCCTTAGTGCAGTGATTTCATTTTCAAGGTTGCTTATGATTGAAGATGCTTTTGGAGCTCTGGCCATCACATCTACATTCCATTCAGGAAGAAGAAATAAAGCAGAGAAAAGCAAAAGCGCATGATTCTTTGCCTTCTCAGCCTTTCTGGGAGTTCTACTTAATGACTTGTGCTTGTGTGATATTGGCTACCCCTATCTGCATTGGAAGCAAAAAAAATTTTTTTTAGCTGGGTACATTGCTACCCCAAATACTAAAGATATTCTACCAGGAAAGAAAAAAGGCAAATGGATTTTGGGCAGGCAACTAGCAGACTGTCCAGTCTGTGTGATGTGCAGCAGGTTCTTCCTCAGGTCGCCTGCTGCTCCTCATGAACGAGTGACCTGTCAATTTCAACTCAATTGCTCTTCCCCACGAATACCCAGTGAACTGTGGTAGAGAAAAAAAAACATAGATATACCCAAAATATTGTACCACAAAAGGGGAGAAAGGGAATCACATAGAAGTTACTATTATATAGTAATTATGACGTCTCTGGGCAGAAATGGTAAAGATTCCCTATTTTGAGAGTGAGGTAAATTTTTTGGTTACCCAGCCTGGCAGTGCCTGGCTCTATACTTTAGGAAAGGGTTGCCAGATTAGGCAAATAAAAATACGGTCACCTAGTTAAATGTGAATTTCAGATAAGTAACAAATAACTGCTTTAGTATAGGGTGTTCCAAATATTGTATTATACACTAAAAAATGTGTATATACATACATACATACATACATACATACATACATACATACATACATACAATTCTGGAAGCATAGTTACCAAACTAAGGTCAGTGATATATTTGGGGAAAGAACTTGAAATAAAAAGTGATGGTCAAGGGAAGTTTGCTTTACTTTATCTGTGATGCTCAAAATTTGTATTTGTACACTGACAATTATTCTTGTTTACTTGTATTAGGAAGACATAAAAAGAATGTAAGAGGTTAACCAAGGTCTTGGTGCTGAGGCTACAGACCAATGAATGACATTATGGTCACATGGCCTCTGGAGTCAGGGTCAGTAGACCTGGTCTTCTGGCCACCACTGAGCAGCCGCACCTGCTCTCTGAGACTCTCCTTTCACATTGACAAAAAAAGAGGTGGGTGATGATACCCACTGAAGAGTTGTTGAGAAGATCCACAATGTAAACGTAAGACAATTTATGGACAAATGCTTTGTAAATCCTGTTGGAGCATACAAATTATGATATATAATTTATGATGTCTATTCCTATTATGTTGTATAATTTATTATATAGTCATATTGGAATGTGCCACTACATAATTATATAGTAATGTGTAGCATTTTGGAATATTGAGTATCAAATGTAGGCATGAAAGCAGAAGTGCCCCATCTAGGGTAGAAGATAAAGAAACATTAACCAACTTAATTCATGTGAGAGTGCCAAGTAAGTGCTTGGTAATTAAAAGTCTACTCTCAAAGTGACAAACTTGAATTTCTTTTTTTTTTCCTAAAAGAAAAAAAAGGGATACAGGTGCAGAACGTGCAGGTTTGTTACATAGGTATACGTGTGCCCTGGTACACCTATTGATCCGTCCTCTAAGTTCCCTCCCCTCACTCCCCACCCCCCAACAGGCTGTGGTGTGTGATGTTCCCCTCCCTGTGTCCATGTGTTCTCAATGTTCAACTCCCACTTATGAGTGAGAACATATGGTGTTTGGTTTCCTGTTCCTGTGTTAGTTTGCTGAGGATAATGGCTTCCAGCTTCATCCATGTCCCTGTAAAGGATGTGATCTCATTGTTTTTTATGGCTGCATAGTATTCCGTGGTGTATATGTACCATATTTTCTTTATCCAGTGTATCATTGATGGGCTTTTGGGTTGGTTCCATGTCTTTGCTATTGTAAATAGTGCTGCAATACACATATGTGTGTATGTGTCTTTATAGTAGAATGATTTATATTCCTCTGGGTATATATCCAATAATGGGATTGCTGGGTCAAATGGTATTTCTGATTCTAGATCCTTGAGGAATCGCCATACTGCCTTCCACAATAGTTGAACTAATTTACATTCCCACCAACAGTGTAAAAGCATTCCTATTTCTCCATAGCCTCTCCAGCATCTATTGTTTCCTGACTTTAATAATCGCCATTCTGACTGGTGTGAGATGGTATCTCATTATGGTTTTGATTTGCATTTTTCTGATGATCAGTGATGTTGAGCTTTTTTCCATGCGTTTGTTGGCTGCGTAAATGTCTTCTTTTGAGAAGTGTCTGTTCATATCCTTTGCCCTCAAAGTAACAAAGTTGAGTTTCAAACACAGGTCCCCAAATTCTAAGTCCTGGACTCTTTCCATGGGCCCTCTTAAAAGTTTTACATAGTCCCATTGCTTTTTCATTCTAATTATTATTCATGCATGTGCACTGAGTTATTTCTTTAGCTTCTATTTTTCTTTATCACTGATGCCATTATTTAAGCACTGGAATTTCCCAGATTGCCAGTACATGGTCATTTATTTAGTGTGACACAAAGCTATTGATTAGTGAGATTGGACCTAGGACCAACCCAGGTCTCTGTAGTAAGAAGGGTAGAGTAGTTATTTTATGGAGTTGTCCCAGCATATGGGAAAAATGTAAACTTTTACGTTAAAAAGTTTAATACATTCTTTGCATTAATATTATTACTATGAAGTTGATATTTAAGAAATTATCTGGAAATAATATGGATTCTATGAGCTTTTAGGGTCTATCATGAAAGAAAGGTAGGGATCAAAGTCTGTGGTTGGTGGGTAGGCTGGAAACTGGTGCACGTGGTGAGTATAAGAGCAGGGAGCCTGGCAGAGCTTAAAATAGACTTACTAGCCAAATGTCAGCATGCATGAGCTAAGGCCTGTGCACAGAGAATTAAACCATGTGTCTGGTAACAAGGAACTTCTGTGCTGAAAATTTATTAATCAATATTTACTCAACTTTAAAAATTGCTATTGTCTCACTCTTAGTATTCACACCAGAGCAATACAGTAAATTAAATGCATCTTCAATTATTCAAAGCTGCTTCTGAAGAATTACTACACCTAAATATTGTGTTTTAATGAACCGTACTTAATTTTTGCACGGTCAAGTGACTGTCTGTGTTACATCTTCCTCCCAGGGGTCTGAGACAGTCTGTCTGGTGCTGCAGGAGACACATGGTTTCAAATGTCATCCTGAAACCCCCCATACGCCCATCCTTCTGCTTTCCTGCTAAGCCAGGCTGAGTAATATTCTTTTTATTTACTGCATAAGGTTCTAGAAGGTGAGCTGGAAAGGGGAGGAAGATGCTGCCATTAGTTACCAAATTGGCAGATCTTTACCTAGAAGAGATGAAATAAAAGTCTGGAAACGGTGACATCTAGTCTGTGCTCTCAGGCTGCAGAGAGGGGAAGAAACAACAGAATCATACCCTCTCCAGGAATTTAAGTCCCTAAACATGGACATCCAAGTCTAGGAATGGGAAGAAAGTTAGGAAGAAAAAAATGGCACAGTTCAAAGTCAGCACACTTTTTTTTTCTTTTCTTTCTTTTTTTTTTTTTTTTTTGAGACAGAGTCTTGCTCTTGTCGCCCAGGCTGGAGTGTAGTGGCATGATCCCCACTCACTGCAACCTCCGCCTCCCAGTTTTAAGCAATTCTCCTGCCTCAGCCTCCCAAGTAGCTGGGATTACAGGCACGTGCCACCATGCCTTGCTAATTTTTGTGTTTTTAGTAGAGACAGCGTTTTGCCACGTTGGCCAGGCTGGTCTCAAACTCCTGACTTTGTGATGTGCCCACTTCCCTCCTGTAGCTGGAATTATAGGCGTGAGCCACTGCACCTGGTCCAAAGTCAGCACACTTTCATTTCATTGCTTACTGCTCTGTCCCAAGTGCCAGGCAGATTCGTGTCACCCATGGCAGATTCATTCTGGATAGAAAGCAGCCCTTCCTCTACTCAGCCCACATTTTATATGGCCCAGATGCCCCCTCATGACTCAACGGAACTGACTCCTCTTCAGAGGCCAGACTGCAAAATGCACTGAGGACCCCTGAAGGCTCCTTCTTTTTTCCTCTCAGGGTTTCACACAGGTACAGAGGTTCTCCTGGGTAGGCCAGGGGAGAAGCCACAACTTTAGCTCAGAGTTAGGTTTTGGGTCCTTTTTGCCCACCTCTATTGGGGCCTAAGTATACAACTGTTATTAGCCAGGGTTACATTGAAGATATTTCACCTTTTTCTCCCATAACACTTATCATCCACCAATATACTATTTATCCAATATTTATTTATTTATTTATTTATTTTTGAGATGAAGTCGCACTCTGTTGCCCAGGCTGGGGTGCAGTGGTGCAATCTCAGCTCACTGCAACCTCTGCCTCCCAGGTTCAAGCAATTCTTCTGCCTCAGCCTCCCAAGTAGCTGGGATTACAGGCAGGTGCCACCATGCCTGGCTAATTTTGTATTTTTTAGAAGAGATGGGGTTTCACCATGTTGGCCAGGCTGGGTCTTGAACTTCTGACCTCAAGTAATCTGCCCACCTCGGCCTCCCAAAGTGCTGGGATTACAGGCGCGAGCTACCATGCCTGGCCTATCCAATTAATTTTATTTATTGTCTGTCTGTCCGCTACTAGAATCCAAGCTCCGCAGGGCCAGCTTCTTGATTGTTTTGTTCACTAATGAATTCCTCAGTACCTCCTACATAAACATCTGTTGAATAAATTGTATGAATTAATGAGTGGCTAACCATACCCGTGTATCACTGCGTATCCTCACGACTTGGACAGTCATCCTTCCTGACACCATTGCATTAGCTGGAATGGGTTAGGTCATGCTGCAGAAAAGTTAGCTCTGAAACCTCAGGGGTTTCATACAGCTAAGGTTTACTTTTCATTCATGGCTATGTGTCCAAACTCAGCTAGCAGTGGGGGTCAAACTGACAGTCACTCGGGGGCCTAAAGTGATAATATTCTGCATCTAGAATGTTGCTGGTCACTGCAGGACCAGGACAGACAGCCAGAGGGCCACACACCAGCTTTTCTAAGCTTTAGCCCAGAAGGGACGCAAGTCATTTTTGCCCATAGCTGATTACCTCAAACTAGTCTTATAGTTCCTGTCTAACTTCAAGGAGTGGCTGGGAGGTGTGGAGGAATGGATGGAAAACTGAGGGAGCAGCGCTCTCTGCCCCATACCCATGCAAGCCCATTCACACCCACTCACATACATTCACACCAATCACACCCATTCACACTTATGGATACCCATTCATGTCCACCAATGCACAGTCTCACCCACAGCCATCGGTCCTCACCCTTAACTTCTCTTGCTCACTCAGACCCAACCATCTGTGCAAAACCCAACTGATGCCCCAAGCTAACCTCCCATCCACTGTTCCACCTATGCCATGATATTATATCTATAGCTATAGATGATAGATAGATAGATAGATAGATAGATAGATAGATAGATTGGTTTTTGCCTACTGGTCCTGGCTTATAACTCCCATAGCCCTTACTACAGTCTTTAGCTATATGGTGGGGCACTTTAGGCCTCAGAAACAGAATCTCTCTCTCTGACCTTCCCCCGTCCTCCTTTCACCAGCCAGGGAGGGCATGGAAGCTCCACGCCCCTTCCCCCATATGGTTGCAGCTCTTCATCTGTATCCTTTGTACAATAAACAAGTATGCAGAATTCAGTGTTCCTGGAGTTCTACGAGCTGCTGTAGCAAATTAATCAAACGCAAGGAGGAGGCTGTGGGATCCCAGTTGGTCAGAAGCATAGGTAAAACAACCCAGGGCTGGCAATTGGCATCAGAATTGGGGGGAAGTCTTGGGGACTGAGCCCTAAACCTGTGGGATCTGATGGTGCTTTCAGGTAGATGGTGTCAGAATTGAATTGGAGGACACCCAGCTGGTGTCCACTACAGAAGCGATGGCTTGCTTGGTGTGTGGGGAAAATCCCCTACTCCTTTGGTCACAGAAGTTTTCTGGGTTGATTGTTGTGTTGTGAGAGAAGAGGAAAAACATTTTGAGTTTTTTCCATTCAGACATACCTGTTCTGTTTATTCATGGCCTACCACATCTAATTGTGCAGACTCCATTCGTCTTGTTTCTTCCAAATCAAATTTCCCTTTGGCAATAAAGGGCTCTCTGGATGCAGCGCTGGATGTCATCTTTCAGGATATGAGAAAATCTTTGTTATGTTAAAAAATGTTATGGATTTCCACATGTTAGCAGCAATGTTCATAGTACTTATTGGCTGAGCAAATACTCAATGTTGAAAAAGCTACCGTGAATTCGGTAGCTCTGTCGCCCAGGCTGGAGTGCAGTGGCCTGATCTTGGCTCACTGCAACCTCCACCTCCTGAGTTCAAGCGGTTCTCCAGCCTCAGCCTCCCTAGTAGTAGCTGAGATTACAGGCATGCACCACCACAACTGGCTGATTTTTTACATTTTTGGTAGAGACAGGGTTTCACCATGTTGGCCAGGCTGGTCTTGAACTCCTGACCTCAAGTGATCCCCCTGCCTCGGCCTCCCAAAGTGCTGGGATTACAGGTGTGAGCCACCATGCCTGGCTGAATTCAGTAATTCTTAAGCATCTGTACCCACTAGAAACACAGTTGTGCATTGATCTGTAAGCATGCAGTTTGTGCAGGTTGCAGACAAAGCTTGGCACACATATGGATTCAAGGATCCTTTGCAATGGTGCCACGGCCTGTGAGTTGGAAGCCATTAAGGTAGAATAGTGCTAATGAGCAGGACAGCAAAGTCCAGGGAGGTTTTCACTTCTCCTCTCGCTTGCTGGCAGAGGAAAGTGGACCTAACGGCATGAATCAAATGTCTTTGCTCTAATAGTGCCTGATTATTTTCTGTAAGCCTCTGTCAATACTACGCTTCAGCTTAACTGCAGTGGGGGCTGGGCATGGTGACTCACGCCTGTAATCCCAGCACTTTGGGAGACCTAGGTGGGTGGTCACTTGAGGTCAGGAGTTCAAGACCAGCCTGGCCAACATGGGGAAACTCTGTCTCTACTAAAAATATAAAACAAAACAAAACAAAAAATGAGTCAGGTGCAGTGGTGGGTGCCTGTAATCCCAGCTACTTGGGAGGCTGAGGCAGGAGAATTGCTTGAGCCCGGGAGGCAGAGGTTGCAGTGAGCCAAGATCATGCCACTGCACTCCAGCCTGGGCAACAGAGTGAGACTCTATATCAAAAAAAAAAAAAAAAAAAAAAAAAAAGAAAACCCAATTTCACTGCACCGCATGTTGTCTCCTCATGGACAAATCCCATTTGCAATATAAACCTCTGCTTGCAACTAATAGAAACTGATATCTAGAAAATGTGATCCATTATCTCCCCTGCTGTGGTCTGCTCACTTCCAGAATTTCATTTCACATTTGAGGCTACCTGAAGATGCTAACATTATGTCAAGAATTTCCTGAAAATGAAAAGAACTCATTTAGGCAGCTAATTATCAATAGAAATTATTGATTTCTATTGGTAGGTCATCTGCAGCGTGGTCTAGCATCTTGAGGCCAGAAATTCATCCCGTGTGCAATGGAAAACTCGGTATCTCTCTCAATACTGCAAGGATTCTTCCATGCACTTTCTAAGCCTTGCCACTGTTGAGTTCCTTTTTTTTTTTTTTTTTTGTGGGGTGACAGGGTCTCTCTCTGCTACCCAGGCTAGAGTACAGTGATCAAAGGTCACTGCAGTCTCAAACTCCTGGGCTCAAACAATCTACCTGCCTCAGCCTCCTGAGTAGCTGGAACTACATGTATGCACCATCTTGACCAGTTAAATTAAAAAAAAATTGCTCTGTAGAGACAGATACCGCTATGTTGCCCAGGCTGGTCTTGAACTCCCAGCTTCAAGTGATTCTCCCACCTTGGCCTCCTGTCTGCTGAGTTCTTGACCAATCCTATGGCTTTTCTGAATGTTCTGTTCCTTATCTATTCTGCATTGCCTCTCTGCATAGCACATTACCTCACTGGGCATTTCCCAACTTCTTTACTCCCCAGACTACCAGCGGGTCAAGGCTGTGTGTGAAGCCTGATTTACTAAAGGTTGGGGCAACGGAAGAAGTTTCTTGGAGAGTAGCATGGTAAATAACATAATATAGGTATTAGAAATTGTTGCTCACGAATACCTCTTGGTTGTTCCCGGATGTAAGTAACTTCCACTGGTATTTTTGTTTTGTTGGGCTCCTGGCTCCATTGACTTCTTCTTCCTCTCTGCCTCTGTGCCCCCAACCCTCTCTATTTTCTCGGATATTTCACACAGAGCAGATCAGCCATACATAGCTTTATCTGAGTCCAGGTCTTCCAGGTTACACACAGAGGGTTTTCTTTTCAAAACCAAACACATACAAAGGTTAGTTTCTGTACAAAGACTCTCCTCCTTGTGAGAACTAATGATCAGCTCTGCACGTCTTTTCTCCCTTTGCCTGGGATATGTTCGGTCATAGATTCACAGAAGGTTGGGCTGAGTGAGACCTCAGAATCTATCAAGTTAAACTCCCCATTTGATGCTTGGATTCCTTCTTTGGTCTCTGAAAAGTGACTGCCATTCCCTGCTTGCACCCCTCCAGTGTCAGCAGTGGTATGGCTTATTTTGCCACCTGGATAGTTTATGCATCTTCTTGAGCTGCAGCTTCCTATGCTGTAAAAGGGAGATGGTAGAATAGCATCTACCTCCCAGAGTTGTTGCAAGGATCAGATGAGGTGGTGAATACAAAGGGCTCTGCACAGCACCTGGCACAAACTTGGCACTTGATAGCTGTCCACTGTTAGTGTCCTGTCAGGGGTAGAAGGATGCAGCCTGCACATGGTGAGCTGATCTGCCCTTGAACCTGCTTGTTTTCAGCTACTGTTCATGCATAGCACCCTGGGCAGTCCAAGACAAGAGTCTTTTTTTTTTTTTTTTTTTCCTGAGATGGAGTTTCACTCTTGTTGCCCAGGCTGGAGTGCAATGGCACGATCTCAGCCCACTGCAACCTCCGCCTCCTGGTTCAAGCAATTCTCCTGCCTCAGCCTCCCAAGTAGCTGGGACTACAGGCATGTGCCACTATGCCTGGCTAATTTTTTTGTATTTTTGTGTTTTTGTATTTTTTGAGGTGGAATCTCCCTCTGTTGCCCAGGCTGGAGTGCAATGGCTCGATCTCGGCTCACGGCAACCTCCGCCTCCCAGGTTCAAGCAATTCTCCTGCCTCAGCCTCCCGAGTAGCTGGGATTACAGGCATGCACCATCACACCTGGCTAATTTTTGTATTTTTAGTAGAGACGGGGTTTCACCATGTTGGTCAGGCTGGTCTCGAACTCCTGACCTCAGGTAATCCACCTGCCTTGGCCTCCCAAAGTGCTGGGATTACAGGCGTGAGCCACCACACCCAGCCAACAGTCCTCTTTGAACGTCTGTAGGTGACAGTGTCTTTAGTTGTCTCTCCACATGGGAAAATCTGATTTTGTAAAACTACAGAATTTCTAGGAGGTGGTGGCAGTGGGAGAGGCAGGGACAAGGAGGAGGAGTTGTCTGGGAGGTTCGGGGGAGCAAGCAGGGGTTGGTGGTGTGAACCTGATCAGGGGCAGGTTTGGCCACCAGTCTTGATGGGCCCTGAGCTATGTGGGATGATGGGGAGGCAATGAAGGCTGGGCCAGGAAGAGACTTTTCCAGAATTTTTGTGACACTATGATTTGACCTCAGAGAGTGGGCTCTGCCTGAACTATGACCCTGGCCACAGATGAAGCAGCAGATGAAGCTGCTACAGCCATAGGCTGAGTGCCAGTCTGGGCTAGTCACATTTCGAGTGTTATCTCTGGGTGGAAGTTTGCATCACTCAGAGCCCCCTACCCTCCCAGGGGCCCACACTATGGACTCTTGGCAGTGGCAGCAGTTCTGGAGCTGGCAGATGGCACATGTCTGCCTCAGAAGGATTCCCAGTTCTGTTTGCAGCTCCCCTAGGATACCACCGATGTTCCCAAGAGGGGCTGTGAAATTCTCAGATAATTCTCAAAATAAAATTAATTTTGATACATTTTCATTTAAAAATAATAAGTGCTAGACAGAACTGTGTGGGGGAAAAGCTGCAGAAGGAAGTCAGAAAAGGAAGCCAGCCACCACGTTCTGCTGTCCCTGGAAGAGCCGGCGGGGGTCCCCTCCGTAGCGGCCAGATCCCTAGATCCATCTGCAGGGGCCCACAAACCCCATCACTCCACCTGTGATGTGGGGACCTGGGACTCAAACTCCTTGGAGGCAGTGCCTGTGGCCGCTGAAAAATGCTCATTGCAGATCCCAGTGCCTGGGATCCTGAAGGCATCTATTGGACATCATTACCTCCCTACCTTGCACTCTCTCACTCCCTTTCTCTCTGTGGGACTGACATTCTCCTTGCTTTTTTTTTTTTTTTTTGAGATGGAGTCTCACTCTGTTACCCAGGTTGGAGTGCAGTGGTGTAATCTTGGCTCACCGCAACCTCTGCCTTCTGGGTTCGAGCGATTCTCCTGTCTCAACCTCCCGAGTAGCTGGGATTACAGGCACCTGCCACCACGCCCAGCTAATTTTTTTTTTTTTTTTTTTGTATTTTTAGTAGAGACGGGGGTTTCGCCATGTTGGCCAGGCTGGTCTTGAACTCCTGACCTCAGGTGATCCGCCCGCCTCGGCCTCCCAAAGTGTTGGGATTACAGGAGTGAGCCAACGCGCCCGGCCTCTCCTCTCTCTTCTTGCCTCTTCCTTCTCTTGACATCTCCTCCCTCTCTTCCTCCTTAATTCTCTTCAGCCCTTGCCTTCCTCTTTCCTCTTTTCTCTAACACTTTCTTTTGTCTTCTCCTCTTTCCCCTCCTTTTAAGTCCTAGAAAGACTGGCTTGGACACAGAGATTTACAGATTGCCTGGTCTAACTTCACCCTTCTTTCAAAAAATATCCCCCGGCCCCCATCATTTTATTTCATTCTCAGAGTTTTTGTCTTTTCCTCGATGTCTGATTCTGTTTCTGCCCCATCACCTTGCTTGTCTTGCTCCTCTCCCCTCTGCTTCCCTCCCTCTTCCTCCTCCATCTCTCTTCCCTCACCCTCCTCTCCCCTGCTCTCTCCTCTGCTCACTTGCTCTATCTCTGTCCTTATCGGTGGCCCTGTCTTTGTCCCCATATGTCAGAGTCTGTAGCTCTTCTCTGCTCTCTGTCCCTGCTGCCATGCCTCTGGCTCTGCCTGGGTCACTCTGGTTCTCCCTGTCTCCTCCATGTCCTCTCTCTCTCATTATCTCCCCCACCCAGTTCTGTCTTTGTCTTTGTCCCTGTCTCTTTCATGGTCTTTCCTACTGGAAGGCTGAGCGGAGGTCAGAGCTCAGCCCTTGGTTCTTAGTCATTGGGGAGAAGCTGGGGATTGGGGGTGGGTGGAATCTGACAGGGTGAGGAGTCCTGGCTTCAGTCCTTGGTTCCAGGACTTTGGCTTCGTCCTACAGGGACCCTCACTCAAACCAGCTGCGCTTGAGACTTGGAGGTGAGCTGCAGAGAAGCTGGCCAAGGACAGGCTTTCATTGTCCCTGAGGGTATCTGCTCTGAGATGGATATTAGTTGGCTTGGGAATTATCTCCTGGCTGCCACAGTGGATTTTCTGGAGAAAGGCAATGGGCTTTCCTGATCTCATCTGAGGGAGAGTCTCGGCTCACAGCCCTTTGCCTTGCAGCCTCCTGAAATGTCTCTCTGCCTTAAGGAATAGAAGAATACCTGGACTGGGGGGTGGGGGAGGGGTGTGGGAGAAGAAAGAAAGAGAGAGAGAGAGATTATTTTTCAGGTAGGTGTATTTTCTGTCTCTTGAACCTGAAGTGACCACCTTAGTGTTTCCTTCTATCTGTCAGAATCTTTTTTTTCAAGTTCTGGACCAAATGCTACTTCCTTCTTGCAATCTTCCCTGATCTCCTTCCCCTTTCTGCTATTCGCCTTTTGTACTAACTCCTCCCTCTGCGGAATCCTAGGAAACATGGCTTATTCCTCTTCTTTTATGAAACAATTTCCTATTTTTGTCCTTATTTTTCAGTAAATGACTTATAGTAGGGGTTCAGCTTACTGAACCCTTTCTATGAAACTGAGTCAGTTTCTTCTTCTCTGCATAAGTGGCAGTTCTGTCTAAGTCAGCTCAGCTCAGTCATCAGCTCATGGGTGATGGGGACAGCCCTGCCAGGCTCTTCCTCACCTACAATATCACCTGCTCACCAAGTCCTACCAATTCTTTATGTTAGCACTTTTTCCTCACCTGGGTCTATACAAGTTCCACATTTCCATGGGGCCACTCTGTTCTTTATTTGGCAAAAACGGGGGCTCAGTCTCCATCCTACATATGGTGGGGAATACAAATGTCATGCCTCCAGATCTCTGGGGATTTGGGGAGAACTTCCATTTCTCCCGGTCCTGACCTTCAATCTCACTCTCATACCTGTCAGACCAAAACTGGTTTCTCCAAAGGACACTAGCATAAGGAATAGGGTGTTACAGCATTTTATTAACCATCTGGGAGTGATAGAGGAGTTTTTAATTGTGATACTGTATAGCAAATATGTTTGAATATTGGACATTTCTGATAATTTGGGGAAAAGTTAATTTTTAAATTTTTAAAATCTTTTTATTTTAGAACCATTCCAGACTTACAAAAAAACTGCAAAAGTAGCACAATATTTCCATGAACCTTTCACCCAGAGTCCCTAAATGTTAACATCATACACGACCACAATACAATTATAAAAATCAGGCAATTAACACTGATTGATACAGTATTATTATATAAACTGTAGACCTTATTCAAATTTTTCCAGTGGTTCCATTCATGTCTTTACTGTGGTCCAGAATACAATTCAGGATCTTACGTTGCCTTTAGTTGTCACAGCTCCTTAGTTTCCTTTGATTAGTCTTTGTCATTCATGACCTTGACACTTTTGAAGGATACGGGCAAACTGTTTGGTACAATGTTCCTTGGTTTGGGTTTCTATAGTGTTTCCTCGTGAGGAATTCAGGCTATGCATTTTTGGCAAGAAGACCACAGAAGTGATCTTATGTCCTTCTCAGTGCTTTCTATCAGGAGAAACCTAACATTGAATGTCCCTTTATGGCTTATGTTAACTTTGATTATTTGATAAGAATAAGTCTACCAGGTTTCTCCATTGTCAAGTTACAATTTTTCCATTGATACTTGGAGATTATGTAAGTATCCTGCCCCTCTTCATATACTTTCCCACTGATGTTAGCATTCATGGACGATGCTTTTTTTTTTTTTTTCTGAGACAGAGTCTTGCTCTCTCACCATTGCTGGAGTAGAATGGCGCAATCTTGGCTCACTGCAACCTCCGCCTCCCTGGTTCAAGCAATTCTCCTGCCTCAGCCTCCCAAGTAGCTGGGACTGCAGGCGCACACCACCACGTGGGCTAATTTTTGTATTTTCAGTAGAGACCGGGTTTTGCCATTTTGGCCAGTCTGGTCTTGAACTCCTGACCTCAGGTGATCCGCCCGCCTTGACCTCCCAAAGTGCTGGGATTACAGGCGTGAGCTACCTCGCCTGGCCGGATGATTCTTGATGGAAACAATTATTACTATGGTGTTTGCCAAATGGTAATTTTCTATTTCCATCATTCCTTCTATTTTTATTAGTTGGAATTTCATTGTAAGGTTGTAAGGGAGAACTTTCCTTTTTTTCCTATTTATTTATTTATTCATGTTTTTATTATATCAGCATTAGCTTGTGGATACTTATTTTATTTTATGAATTATAATCCACTACAGTCTTTCTCTCTCTCTCTCTCGCTGTATATGTGTATATATATATATATATATATATATATATATACTGGCCAACTGGCCCATCCCCTAGCCTGACTCCAAACAGAAACTGGTTTACTTGGTGCTTGTGGTAGACCAGGTGGTTCCCTCTCCGACGGCTCCTCCATTCTTTGCTTGTGGGTGCAACAGTTATGTGAAAAGGCCATGTCATTTTTGAGTTATCTACCCCAACCCTAGTTCTAAGCATTGATTCTGATTTCTTTTTAGAAATAAGATGGTTAAGATTAGGAAGCTGATTGGTTTCTCCCTGCTACAGTGTCTCCTTCTACTAACCCAGGCATAAGCTGGTGGGTGCCAGGCCTTCTGATGAGGAGATTGGTTCAGGAATGGACCTGTGGTCCAAATCAGACCATTGACTCTAAGGAGAGGTGGGTTATGGGAAAGACGGTTGCTCATGGGCCTGAGAGATCTACAGAAGGCTAGCTCCTCTTTCTCAAAGGTTTGGGATATAGAAGGGACCTGGAGCTGCTGCAGCCCTTTGCCACCACGAGGTAAGCTGACACTAGAGAAGGCAGAGGGGAGATGCAGAAGGCACCAGCTCCTCGATGGGATTATCGAATGACCAAATCCAACCCATCCTGAAGTCTGCCTTACCTCAAGGACTTCCAAGTTCATGAGCTGATACATTCTTATATTGCTTAGGTCAGTTTGAGTTGCTTTTTTTTGACTTGTGCCATAAAGAGTCCTGGCAGATCAGGCTCTGTTGGGGCTCTTCTGCTGACCTGGCTCTCCACTTTCCTGCTCCCTAGTGATGCTTCTCTGTCCCAACAAAGAGAGGTATGAGGTCTCTGCTCTGCTGACAAGCCTCTAGTGCTGATGCAGCATTGACTTGCAGATGTGGGGGGCTTTAGAATCAGACACCTGGGTGTTTAAATCCCTCACAAGCTGTGGGACCTTGGACAAGTTGTCCACCCTCTCTTACTTTAAGTTTTCTCTCAAAAATGGAACAACAGCAACAAAAATCAACCTCTCTCTCTTAGGGCTCTTGTGAATGAGATGATGCATAGAAAATCTGGCACGCAGTAGGACCGCAGCCAGCTTCACCTCCATGTCCCTCTGCTCTTGCCTCTTCATCACAGAGGGTGCTCTACTGTGCTTTGAGCCTTAACGTAGACTCTGGCCTTCTGGAGGTCAGCTTCTTAGACTTAGAATGCCAGTGAGTTTTTGAAAAGAAAACAAATCCCTATTGCCAGAGAAGATGAACAGCTCAGCCATTTGCTAAAACAAATATTAGTTCAGGGCTGTCCAGGGAGAGCAAGCAGATCCAAGCTCTGCTTGTATTTTGTATCCTTCGAGGAGCTGGTGCGTCTGCTGCTGAGGACAAGCATCTTGTGGGGAGGGTGGGAGGAGGGCAGTTGCCCTGGAAGCTGTTCTCGGCACCCCACCTCCTGTCCCTCCCGCCGGCATTACTTATCAGGCATCTGGGGCATTTATCCTGCGCCTGCCCTCTCTGTGTCTGCCTGGGCTCATGTTCTGGCCTGGGGCCTGGAGTTGGCTTCTCTTGGCCTTGACCATATCCAGAGGATCGCAGTCAGATCCACTGGTCTGACTGGCTGTGCATTCAGACAGGTTCTGAGAATGGTCAGGGAGACACAAACTCCCACTCATGGGTATTCATGGCTCACATTGTAGTCCAGGGTTTGCCAGCCTGTGTGCTATTGACATCGTGGGTCTGGTAATTCATTGTTGCGTGGGGCTGTCCTGGACATTGCAGGCTGTTTGACAGCATCCCGGGCCTCCACCCACTAGATAAACAGTAGCACTCCCCTCCCCTAGTTGTGAACAACTAAAAATGTCTCCAGGCTGTACCTAATACTACCCTGGGGGAAAACATGGCCTCTAATGGAGAACCATGATTCTAGTAGAAGGCAGCGGAGACAGCTGGAGTTAGCTATATCTTGGTTCAAATCCTGGCCCTATCACTCACCAGCTGTGATATTGGGCTGGTTAACGTAACCTCTCTGAGCCTCAACTTGTGAACCTGTAACATGGGAACCATGATAGCACTATTTCATAGGACGGCTGCGAGGGAATGACATGAGATCATTTACAGGGAGGTGCCTGCCCCCCGGTCTCCTCTCTCCATGTCAACCTGCTTGTATAGACTGTAAACCCCACGAGGGCAGGGGCATGCCTCTGTCGTTCACCGCTGTGTCCCCAGCCCCCAGCACAGTGCCTGCTGCGTGTCGGCGCTCAGGAAATGAATGGTATTCTTCGATGCTCTGGGCTTTGCTGAACTTACACTTTACTGCTACTTAATGCTCTTGACAAAAATCCCCTTAGCTCCTGGCCTCCCTGAGGCCGAAAATCTCTACTCAGTCTGGGTTTTATATGCTTATCCGAAGCTCACAGTTGCCTCCCTTGGGAAGGTTCTAGAAAGCCTGCTCTTGCCCTGGCCCACTGTCACCACCCTGGAGTCAGTTTGATGGCAGTGGCTCCAGGAGCATCAAGCTCCACATTTCCATTGCTGACTCCCAGGGCATCCCCTAGACCATGGATCATTGGCAGAGTGGAGGTGATTGACATATCCTGCAGGGCATCCTCCAGACCATGGCTCATTGGCAGAGTGGAGATGATTGACATCTCTTAGGTCCAATGCCAGGGCATCCTCCAGACCATGGCTCATTGGCAGAGTGGAGGTGATTGACATATCCTGGGTCCAATGAAAGATCAAGTCCTTTCCTACTCCAATGACCAGCTCCACTCACCACCTTATGAGGCTCCCTTGGATGACTCCTAATCCTGCAAGCAGGCAAATTGGTGGACTTCCTATCATTTCTGTGTCCTAAAGGCTAGTTTAAGAATATAAACTAGGCCGGGTGCAGTGGTTCACGCCTGTAATCCCAGCACTTTGGGAGGCCAGGCGGGCGGGTCACCTGAGGTCAGGAGTTCAAGACTGGCCTGGTCAACATGGTGAAACCCCGTCCCTAGTAAAAATACAAAAATTAGCTGGCCGTGGTGGCGGGTGCCTGTAATCCCAGCTACTCGGGAGGCTGAGGCAGGAGAATCGCTTGAACCCGGGAGGCGGAGCTTGCAGTGGGCTGAGATCATGCCACTGCACTCTAGCCTGGGTGACAGAGTGAGACTCCATCTCCAAAAAAAAAAAAAAAAAAAAAAAAAAAAAAAAAAAAAAAGAAGCCAAATTATGTCTCCAGAATTATTTTTACCAAAGGAAGTAGGGCATTTCATCTCAGGATGATGTGTCTAGACCTGTAGTGAGGCTTATGGTGATGGGAGGGCAAGATAAGCTTTTCCTTTGAAGGTGAAACCGTGCCCCAAAGGGTTAGAGAAACGAATGACTAAATGTTTGGGCTTACAGGATAGCAGATGAAAAACCAGTTGCCTAACAGCTGAAACAGAACTGTGCCCCAAAGAGTAAGAAACCAGTGACTAACGGATATCCTTGAATTTGCAGGACTGCAGATAAGAAAAGAAAAAACTTACAGCAATGCTGAAACTCCCTTCCCTTGCAGGATAACAGAACTGGCTGAAATCGGTGAAAACCAATACGGCTGACTGGAGTTTGCGCAGAATGAGCTTGCTAATGTCACCACCTCAAATTCCACTGCATGCTTCATACTTACTCCCCCTGAATGTGCACGTGCGATCCAGGAAGTAGTATGAAGAGATAACTGTGCATGCCAGAGGACTTTCCAGCCTCCCATTTCCTTCCACCAGTCACCCACCAATCCTAGAATCCATTCCCTAAACCTTTTCTAACAAAACTGCTGCCCTAAAGCTGGCCCAGGGAGACAGATTTGAGCTGGACTCCTGTCTCCTTGTTGGTCCACTTGCAATAAAAAGGTTTTCTTTTCTCAAAAATCTGGTGTCATAGTATTGACTTCTAGTGCATCAGGCAGTGAGCCCCCTTTGCTTGGTAACAAAGGCACTGCCAATTAAGTAGGGAAGTCAAGACGAATGAGACAAGTAAAGAACATACAAGCTCCAAAGTGATGATGAGAGATTGTGAATGGAGCTGGAGAAGCTGCTCAGGTGCCCTATCCTGACTTCCAAATCCCCCTCCACCTGCTGTACCACCACCACCACCACCCTGATTTAGGCATCACTGCCTCTGACTTGAAATATTATGAATGGCTCTGACTGGTCTCTCTCCTTTCATCTGCCTCAAATCTGCCTCCAGAGATATCAAGCTGGTTTTTCTAAAATGCTAATCTGATTATACCACAGCATGCCTGGAAACTGTTTAAGGTTTATTGTGATGTTATCTGCAATCATGGAACATTGGAAACGATTGGGGAATGGTTAAATAAATGGTGGTACATATCCGAAAATATTTCATAGCCATTACAAATAATGTTTTAAAAGAGTAATTAGAGACCTGGAAAAATACTTGTAATGTAATGAGAAACTGGATTCAAAACTATTTGGTATGATAAAGGTTTAGTAAGTATGTCCAGAAGTATGTCCATGTATATAATTGCAAGATTGGAATTTTATATATATATGGAAAAAAGTAACAATGATTATTTCTAGTTAGTAAGATACAGAGGATTTTTTATTTCTTCTAGGCTATAAACTTTATGAGGTCAGAGATTGTCTATCTTGCTTATTATTAATTTCTAATCCTTTACTAGGTATCCTGTACTGGTATTTAATCCTCTACTGGTATATAGTAGGCAAGCACTTGAAATGTTTTATGAGTGGAATTGAGTATGGATTTTTTTTTTTTTTTGAGATGGAATCTTGCTCTGTTGCCCAGGCTGGAGTGCAGTGGCACGATCTTGGCTCACTGCAACCTCCGCCTCCTGGGTTCAAGCAATTCTCTACCTCAGCCTCCTGAGTAGCTGGGATTACAGGCACCCACCACCATGCCCGGATAATTTTTTGTATTTTTAGTAGAGACAGAGTTTCACCTGTTGGCCAGGCTGGTCACGAACTCCTGACCTCATGATCCACTCACCTCAGCCTCCCAAAGTCCTGGGATTACAGGTATGAGCCACTGCGCCCGACCAGAGTATGGATTTTATAATTTCCAAATTTTGTTCAAAAACATTGTCTTAGTTTGTGATTCCCTAGAAGCAGACACTGAGACAGGGTTTGGGTGCAAGCTGTTTATCCAAGAGGTGAGCTCAGATAGGGGACAGGGGAGGTGACACAGGGAAGGGAAGGGAGCCAAACTGTGTGTTACTCATCAGGTTACCACGTGGGAAGTGGCAGTTCATCCCACTGGGAAGCTCTAGAAGACTGCACAGAACATGTAAAATATCAGAGGGGCAAGGAAGCCGTGGTATTTATTCTCCAGTTCCCACCTGTGATGGCTGAGGGCAGCACCTGGGAGAGGTGAGCCCAGGTGCTTGTAGCAGGACACAGTCATCAGAGACTGGAATGGCAAGAGCTGAGAAGATGTAGGTAGGAAGTTGACAGGCTCTGCTACAAGCATGATAATTTAGAAATAATAAGAAAAGGCCTGGTGCGGTGGCTCATGCCTGTAATCCTAGCACTTTGGGAGGCCTCCTCACCTGAGGTCAGGAGTTTGAGACCAGCCTGGCCAACATGGCGAAACCCCATCTCTACTAAAAATGCAAAAACCAGCTGGGCGTGGTGGTGCACACCTGTAATCCCAGCTACTTGGAGGCTGAGGCAGGAGAATTGCTTGAACCCAGGAGGTGGAGGTTGCAGTGAGCTGAGATCGTACCACTGCACTCCAGCCTGGGCATCAGAGCGAGACTCTGTCTCAAAAAAAAAATATTTAAAAAATATTAGCATGTAATTATTAATGGCCTTGGGGAAGTTCCTTAAGGTTCCTGAGCCTGTGACTTTATATTCAAAGTAGAGACAGTAATTCCTGCCTGGCCTTGCTCTTAGGATTTGAGGAGAGTCGTGTGTGTGTGTGTGTGTGTGTGTGTGTGTGTGTGTTTTGTGGACTGAATGTCTGTGACCTCCCAAAATCCATATGTTGAAGCTTAACCTCCAATGAACGTGATTGTATTTGTAGGAAGAAATGCCAGTGGTCTGTCTCCCCTGCCATCTGAGGACACAGTGAGAAGTCAGTCATCTGCAAGCCAGGAAAAGAGCCCTCATTAAATCCAAATCTGCTGACACCTTGATCTTGGACTTTCCAGCCTCCAGAACCGTGAGAAATAAATGTCTGTTGTTGCTTAAGCCTCCCTAGTCTGTGGTATTTTGTTATGGCAGTCTGAGATGACTAAGACAGCATGTGTGTTTTAAAGCAAGAAAGCAATATAAATGTACCTCATATTTCCTGGGTCTTTTTCAGCAGAGTGTAAAAATTGGGTTCTTATTAAGCATCAGTTCCCACTCATGGAGCAGGGACTCCAGCAGCCCTGGGGTCAGCTCCTCCTAGTGAACTGCAAGTGCACAGAGGGTATCTTACAGGTGCTCTGCAGTGAGTCCTCTCAGAGACCCTGTGGAGCTGAATTTCTCTCCCTCCCACTCTCTCCTCATTGTGGTGATATCTCTGATCCTGTGGATTCAGAGGAGAAAGCAGTGATACAGATGTTTATGGTGTCTGGCTCCAGACCACCAGCATCTGGTGCTGAAACTGGTGAGCCTTGGTAGCAACAGAATGAAGGACAACACCCTCAGCACCAGCCTGTCCAAGGCTCCAGGGATAAGATGAGCCAATATTCCCGTGAATCTAGGGTGACCAACCATCCTAATTTCCCTGGGACTCTCCCAGTTTTAGCACTGAAAGTCTCTTGTCCCAGGAAACTCCCCAGTCCCATGCAAATCAGGACAATTGGTTACCCTACTGCTAGTGTAAGATGTGTGTGGCACCCCATTCAGTTCCAGGCTGGGCACCTCAAGGAAGACTCCACCAGAAAATGAGCATCAGGAGTGCTGAGCAAAGCATCAACTCCTTCCCTAGCATTTTGTCTGGCTTAAAGCACCAGGTCCTCCTTCCTAGAATGAATCCCTAGAACTGTCCTGAGAAGACCACTATGAGGATGGCATTGAAGAGTCCATCACTTAGGCTGAGCTGAACCATTGACATGATCAAAAGGCAGCTCTGTCGATCTCATCAGTGTCTTGACAAGGAGCATTGGGAGCCAAGAGCCCTGTTGGTAGCCTGTGCTCAGGGCTACAGGACTGGGGAAGGGAGTTCCCCGGTGGAAGCTATACAACCTGCCCTTCTGCCATTCCCTGGCATTGACTCCAAGGAGGGTCATGACATGCTTCAGGGATGCCATAGCTCTCAAGCGGTCTGAGCTTCTAACTCAAAGTGCCTTAAGCGGTCTCTTTATACAGTCAAAGGCTGGGAGGTCAATGTCAAACTCCTCTTATGTCTGGAGTCAGAGGAAAGAAGCTACACCAAGAGATGAGAAACACATAGGAGAAGAGAGTCTGCTGCGGCATGAGAAGACAGGCAGGGAGGTACAGAAGATACGATGGGAGAGATAGACCGAGCCTGAGTCCCTCATCCCAGGCACAGAAAAACTCCGTCCCCCATCCTGGATGTAGACTCACCTCTCTCTGGCCACACACTGATCTCTAACCTTGACCAAACCCTGAGCTCTGACCTTTGACTCTTATCAAAGACTGAGACCCTGGCTACACACTGACTCTTGACCCCTGGGCAGCTACTGGGAGAGTCGTCTATGGACTTTGCAAATCTCTCTTTATGTAACAGCAGACACAGGCTCTGTGTTCATGCACGAGCTCGGCTGCTTTTCCCAGCGTCCATCAATGCCCCAATTACCTGCAAACTGCTAACACTCAAAGGAATTCTCTCTGTGTATTAATTGGGCCAAGCACACGTTAATCAGGTAACCCAGGCCCCCTCCATGCCTGCTGGTGTTATTTTCTCCGCAGAACCAGGTAATTTCATTGCTGGGCTTCGGTGAAAGTTGAAAAGCAGTGTCAGCTTTTTCTGCTCTTAATTAGCGCTGGGCTTTCTCCGGTAAGTCACTGATCATTATCAATGAGCTTGTAATTTTATGTCCCAGAATTAGAGACTGATGATTAAAAAGAAAATCAAAAGGCTGTGTTGCAGGTCCAATCTCCAAAGACACGGGCATTCTTTCAACCTCCATCATCTATTCCACTGTGACCTTTTCTTATAGCTTCACCGAGACTTCCCGAATTGCAACAACTCCTTCTCTTTGGGAAGGGGAGGGCTGTTTCTTCTTGCCCATCAGCAATGTAGGTGGCAGTGGCCAGCCCTCTGGCTGGTGGGGAGTAAGCTGGTGGCTTGTATGGGTTCTGAGGTTTTTGTTCAAAGAGGAGGCACACAAGGGATCTGGGAGCTCTTTTCTCTCCCTCGCTCCCTTTTGGTTCTGAGCACGCCTAAAGCTTTATCTGATCTCACTTCTGGGGCTTTGTACTTAGGACAGGGATGGTTCATGGAACTCTATCAGAACCAAACCAGGATGGCAGAGGCTCGAGTTCCACTGGGCTCCCGATGCTTGGTCAGGACCCTGAAACCCGTGCGCCTCTGTGGGGCATAGCGGGTAGTTTTGCCTGCACCCACTCCCCTTTCTTCTGGCCACAGCACCTTACTTTGCCCCCTCTTCTCTCAGTACATTAGTTAGGGTGACATCTCCCCCCACTTTCAGGGATGGTCTTGAGGCTCAGCCCTCACTGATTCTTGTATGCTCCTTTCCTATGGCCACGAGCCACTCAGGAACAGGCAGGTAGGTGATCCAAGGAGGCTCAATGAGATTCGGTTGTGTTGGAACTGTGGGAGAAGGGAAGCTCTCTTTGCTGCAGTTGCTAAGCCAGGAGGGGGTCTGCAGGGAGCTGCCAAAGTGTTCAGTTTGATGCTGATTTAAAGACCACACCGTGGGTGGCATTCGCGAAGGGGTATTGAATGGCTGCCATGCACTTGGTTTTGAGAGAATATGGGGACAGAAGATGCTTCAAATATTCTCGAGAGGGAAGGAAAGATAGAATTTATTGGTAAATCTCTAACAGATAAACCTCTAAATTAGTATACTGAATACATCATCCTTCCAGATGGAGGTTGCTGGCTTGTTCAAGCCTGAGATGTGGGTGCCCCCACCCACCTGACTCCCAGCCCCACTCTCTGGACTCCCTTCTAGTCACTAGAGTTCTGTGTTTTCTCTCTGCTCACATATATCCTCAGGAGGTGGCACAATGCACCTCAGAGCAGGGGGTTGGAGTCAGGATTCCTGTTTCCATCTGTTTGGGTCACTAACTAAATGGCTCTGAATAAGCAACATATCCAATACAAGGTTCCATTTTCTATTTTATTTTATTTTATTATTTTATTTTTTGAGACAGAGTCTTCCGCTGTCACCCAGGCTGGAGTGCAATGGCACGATCTCTGCTCACTGCAGCCTCCGCTTCCCTGGTTCAAGCAATTCCCCTGGCTCAACCTCCTGAGTAGCTGAGACTACAGGTGTGTGCCACCACACCCGGCTAATTTTTCATATTTTTAGTAGAGACAGGGTTTCACCATGTTGGCCAGGCTGGTCTTGATCTCTGGACCTCGTGATCTGCCCACCTTGGCCTCCCAAAGTGCTGGGATTATAGGTGTGAGCCACTGCGCTCAGCCCAGGTTCCATTTTCTACACTGGCTCTGCTTCTCCCACAACCCTACGCACCCTGCCAGACCCCCGGGCTGCACTCTGTCAAGTTGTCGTGAACTCAGACTATCCTGGAGTACACGGAGGAGCTTGGGGAGTCGCCCCTCTTCTGAGCATTGCATCACTTCTGGAAGGACATTTCCCTCTGGATACTGAGTTAAGAACAGATTGAAATCAGGAAGGACCTACTTAGGGCCTCCTCGGTTTTTGACTTCTTCAATCGTAAGCAAATTGAGGCCAAGACTCCCAAGCTGGGCAAATAAGACCTTGGACATGGCTTTCTGCTGGCCTTACCTCCACTGTTAGTAAGAAGGGCCCTCGCAAGCAGAGCACGTGAGTAGCTTCTGAACCCCGAGTTGCCCCTAGCCAGCATCATGATGCTGCAGAGGATGAAGCTCCAGCACTGACCACCATTAAGGTGGCGGCACTCCAAGTCTGGCACCCCTGAGCCTCAGTCCCTGCCTCTCTCTTGTCCCAAAGTCTGACCACATCTCAGCCGGGACTCCAGCCTTCATCCCACCTGCAGCTCAGCAACTGTGAAGGGTTGAGGATCAATGATGGGCCCAGCTAGGAGGGGTTTGAGAGCTTTCACCACCTGTTCTGGGATGCAATGTCAGGGAACTCTTTGCTGGTCCAGGTTTGACCTTGTGTGAGGACCTGCAGCCCCACCTCAGGAGCGAGAAATCTAACTCTACTTCCTCTAAGACTCTGGGCTTCTTCTGTCTTTGTCTGATCTCAAAGTTTGTGCATCTTTTAGCTCCTCTGGGCACCTGGAAACTTCTTATCCCATGGTCCTAGACTATTTGTATTTTGATCTTCCAAGGTGTTCTCCTGCTAGGATAAGGCCCTGTTACCAGCACAGCATGGGCATGTGGTAGATAGTAATTTGGATAGATGTGTGGAAATGACGTGGTAAAAGAATGGTTGAATGGCTGGAAGTGTCCATGAAATGATAAAGTAATGATGGGTGGATAATTGATGGACGGATGATGGGTACATTGGTGGATTGATGGATAGATAGGGCTCACTTTAGCAATGATCAGCTTGCTTGCAGCCCCAGGACCCCCTCTGTCATGCTCCAATGCCTTGCCCTGCTACCTCTGACCCCTAGCCAGTCTGTCCCAGGCCCCTGCCCACCTCCCTATCCTTTTTCCTGGTGCCCCCTGCAGCTGCCTGGTGTGTGGTGGCAGATGTACCTGGTTTCTGGTTCCTGCCACCCTCAGATTTGGCCTATGCCAGGAACCTCCAGTAGTTCCAGTCCTGATCAAAGCTGAGGATACACTTGGGTTAGGGCCAGTTTGTGGGAGGCTGGGAGTGGTGTCCTAAAATATCAGATGCGTCAGCCCAGGACCTACCCTGCATCCGCCTTTCGACTCTCCAGAGGGGCAGGCTCCTTGCTTCTAAAAACTTGCGTTGGTTTTTCTTTTATGAAAAAATAATCAAAGCCCTAATGTAGTTGGCAGAGTTTCTGAAAGTCAATAGGAAAGAAGCAAAGGAAAGGAGCAAGCTGAGGTGGAGATAATTCTCAATGCCTCTGACTGAGACAGATCTAATTAAAACAAATCTTTAAAGCACAGACCTGGAGGCCGGCCGCAGAGGGAGTGGAAATCTCTGAGATGGACACTTCTCCTGGAGTTAGCTGCTAATGTTGGGACACACACCCTGGCTGCTACTCGTCTTGGCTCTTCCCAGAGCAGCCTGGCTACTGAGGCAAAGGACTCAGGCTTCAGGTACCTGATCTCTTCTCCCCAGGAACCCGGAACCAGGGTTTTAGGGAGACACAATGAATAGCTTGCCAAGACCCCCCTAAGGCAGGGACCTTGCTTTCTTGAGGCTTCATGAAGGGCTTTTTTCTGGGTGCAAGCCTTCATTCCTATGGAATCGTCAGTGCACATTTGTCAAATGTGCCTGTAATTCACCCACCTCTGGGACTCTCCCTTTAAACGCTCCCATCTGGCATCAGCCTCCTGCTGGGTCTCACCGTCTCTACTGAACTGCTTCCAGTCCCTCCTGTTTGCAACCCTAGGAGATACTGATGCACATATGTGAGCTGACATCCCTCCTTTGGTTGGATGTTCGAAGATCCCCTCATCACTAACAAGGCGAAAACAATGGCATTTAAAACCCTTGGCAATTTGGCTCTGCCCCATTTCCCACCTGTCTGCTAAACCTCAGTTGTGATTCCTTCACCATTTTTTTTTTTTTTGAGATAGAGTCTCACTCTGTCGCCAGGCTGGAGTGCAGTGCGCGATCTCGGCTCACTGCAATCTCTGACTCCCTGGTTCAAGTGATTCTCCTGCCTCAACCCCCCGAGTAGCTGGGATTACAGGCATGTGCCACCACGGCCAGCTAATTTTTGTACTTTCAGTAGAGACGGAGTTTCACCATGTTGGCCAGGATGGTCTTGATCTCCTGACCTCATGATCCACCCGCCTTGGCCTCCCAAAGTGCTGGGATTACAGGTGTGAGCCACTGAGCCTGGCCCCTTCACTTTTATTTTAATTTGATCTTATTATTTTTATTTAATGTTATTGGGATAAAAATCCCATAATGTGATATTAACTGTTAACCATTTTGAAAGTGTACAATTCACTGACATCCAGCACATTTGTGATATTGTACAATCATCACCTCCATCCAGCCCCAGGACATTTCATCACCCCACAGGGATATCCCATATCCACTAGCAGGCATTCTCCATTCTTCTCCCACTCCCCAGGATGTGGCAACCACTAACACGCTTTCTGTCTCTATGGAATCACTTATTCTGAACATTTCATATAAATGAAAGCATACAATATGTGACCTATTGCATCTAGCTTCTTTCACTTAGCATGATGTTTCTGAGGCTCGTCCATATTGTAGCATGAATCAATACGTCCTTTTTGTGGCCAAATAATAGTCCATCAGGATCTAGAACCAGAAATACCATTTGACCCAGCAATCTCATTACTGGGTATATACCCAAAGGATTATAATTCATTCTACTATAAAGACACATGCACACGTATATATATTGCAGCCCTGTTTACAATAGCAAAGACTTGGAACCAACCCAAATGCCCATCAATGATAGACTAGATAAAGAAAATGTGGCACATATACACCATGGAATACTATGCAGCCATAAAAAAGAATGAGTTCATGTCCTTTACAGGGACATGGATGCAGCTGGAAACCATCATTCTCAGCAAAGTAACACAGGAACAGGAAACCAAACACCACATGTTCTCACTCATAAGTGGGAGTTGAACAATGAGAACACATGGACACAGGGAGGGGAACATCACACACCGGGGCCTGTCGGGGGTGGTGGGGAGCAAGGGGAGGGAGAGCATTAGGACAAATACCTAATGCATGCAGGGCTTAAATCCTAGATGACGGGTTGGTAGGTGCAGCAAACCACCTTGGCACATGTATACCTATGTAACAAACCTGCACGTTCTGCACATGTATCCCAGAACTTAAAGTAAAATAATAATAATATTCCATAGCACGGACACACCACATTTAGTTTATCCATTCGTTCATCAACAGACACTTGTGTTGTTTCCACCTCTGCCATTGTGCATAGTGCTGGCAATAAACAGTCATGGACAAGGACTTGAGTCTCTTATTTCAAATCCCTTGGGTATATACCAAGGAGTGGAACTGCTGGGGTCATATGGCAGCTCTGTATTGAAGCTTTAGAGGAAGCACCTGAACCCTGGTTTCTCGATGTCCTCTGGACACACTGTGCCCTTTTGCCCTCAGTGTCTTCACACATGCTGCTCCTCCTGCATTTTATGCTTGTCCTTCCTTCCCTACCCGACAAACTTCTATTCCTCTTCCCAGACTCTGCTGGAGTGTTAGCCCCTTTTTGAATCCTTCTCACCCTGTGTGCAAACTTAGTGCAGGTGCTCTAGGCTCTGCGGCGGCTCTGCTGCAGCTCTTGGAATAGATTGCAGCTGCCTGTCTGTGTGCTCTCCCCTCCAGGCTGAACTGGGCATTCTTTGAGCATGGAGACCCTGCCTGGATCATGTTTACCTCCTCAGTGCCAAGGCAGGTGCTTATGAGCTTATGAGATGCTTTTATGGGGACTGAGTAAATGGGGGGCCCATGTGTGTGGCATGGGACTGGGATTGCTGGGCTCTTCAACACACAGTTTCTGGGAGCCTGTGGCTGTTGAGGACCCCAAGTGCCCCAGAATGGCCTCGCTTGGCTCCAGGGCAGTGCTCACATTTGTTCTCCTCCCTCTCAGTATGCGGTGGCCGGCTGTCGGCCCTGCGCAGGCATTGTCATGCTTCATTAGGCTTGCTTTTGTTGCTGCGTGCTGAGGTTTTCACTGTTGCTAGGTTGTCTTCTGTTTCATATACATTTCCCCATTTTTTTTCCTTTGGCAAATAATCAGCACCCAATTAATTCTGAATTTCCCATTGTTTGCTCCAGCTGTCGAGCTCCTTGCACGAGCAAAGAATGATTGTTCAATGTTTTCCTTGTAATGAACTGTGAGAGTCGGCTGGGTCACTTCTGGTTTTGAGGAGAAGAGCGGGTGAGAGACAGAGGCACATGGAGAGCTTGAGAAACAGAGACAAAGAAAGAAAGAGAGGGACAGAGAGATACAGAGGGAGGAAAGAAAAGAAAAATAGAGATGGAGAGAAAGAGAGGGCTGGGTGAAGACACAGAAACAAGCACAAAGAGACAAGAATATTTGGAAATAGATACACACTCAGAAGTGGACAGTCCCACAGATGCACAGAGGGAAATGCACTTACAAAGACACACGGAGAGAGAGAGACAGAGATCCTTTAACACACACAGACCAACAGGGAAAACACAGTGGGATACATAGAGACACACAAAGAGATAAGGAGAGACACAGGACAGTGATAGAGGGGCCAAGGGAGACAGAGAGAGGAAGAAACAGACCCCGGATGATTGAATGATGCCTGTGTGAGTCTGTGTAGCAGCAGACTCTGGTGTCAGCATAACAGTGATCAGATTGGACATTACTGAGTGCCCACCACATATCTGACGCTGTAACAGGATCCACTCACAATCTCTCTGGAATGCAGGCACTGGCATCCCTATTCTCCAGGTGAGGAAACTGAAGCTCAGAACTCAATAAACATACACACGGCCACACAGCTAGCAAAAGGCAAGAGGAAATTTGAAACAAGCGTGTCTGCCTCTAAAGCCCAAGTTCTTAACGCTCATACCCTGTTGCTTCCCAGAAGACCTGCTCTTGGGTCTCAGTTCTGCTACTGAATAGCCAGCTGTGCAGCTGAGAGGTGACAGCCTGCTGGCAGTCCTCACAGCCCTCGCTCGCTCTCGGCGCCTCCTCTGCCTGGGCTCTCACTTTGGTGGCACTTGAGGAGCCCTTCATCCCGCTGCTGCACTGTGGGAGTTCCTTTCCGGGCTGGCCAAGGCCGGAGCCGGCTCCCTCAGCTTGTGGGGAGGTGTAGAGGGAGAGGCGCGGGCGGGAACTGGGGCTGCGCGCGGCGCTTGCGGGCCAGCGCGAATTCCGGGTGGGCGTGGGCTCGGCGGGCCCCGCACGCTGAGCGGCCGGCCCACGCCGCCAGCCCCCGGCAGTGAGGGGCTTAGCACCTGGGCCAGCAGCTGCTGTGCTCAATTTCTCGCCGGGCCTTAGGGCCTTCCCACGGGGCAGGGCTCGGGACCTGCAGCCCGCCGTGCCTGAGCTTCCCCCTCCCCCCGCCCGCCCCGACCTCCGTGGGCTCCTGCGCTGCCGGAGCCTCCCCGACGAGCGCCGCCCCCTGCTCCAAGGCGCCCAGTCCCATCGACCACCCAGGGGCTGAGGAGTGCGGGCGCATGGCGCGGGACTGGCAGGCAGCTCCACGTGCGGCCCCGGTGCGGGATCCACTGGGTGAAGCCAGCTGGGCTCCTGAGTCTGGTGGGGACTTGGAGGACCTTTATGTCTAGCTAAGGGATGGTAAATACACCAATCAGCACTCTGTATCTAGCTCAAGGTTTGTAAACACACCAATCAGCACCCTGTGTCTAGCTCAGGGTTTGTGAATGCACCAATCCACACTCTGTATCTAGCTACTCTGGTGGGGCCTTGGAGAACCTTTATGTCTAGCTCAGGGATTGTGAATACACCAATCAGCACTCTGTATCTAGCTCAAGATTTGTAAACACACCAATCAGCACCCTGTGTCTAGCTCAGGGTTTGTGAATGCACCAATCCACACTCTGTATCTAGCTACTCTGGTGGGGACTTGGAGAACCTTTGTGTCCACACTCTGTATCTAGCTAATCTAGTGGGGACGTGGAGAACCTTTGAGTCTAGCTCAGGGATTGTAAACGCACCAATCAGCGCCCTGTCAAAACAGACCACTGGGCTCTCTGTAAAATGACCAATCAGTGGATGTGGGTGGGGCCAGATAAGAATAAAAGCAGGCTGCCCAAGCTAGCAATAGCAACCCGTTGGAGTCCCTTTCCACACTGTGGAAGGTTTGTTCTTTTGCTCTTTGCAATAACTCTTGCTGCTGCTCACTGTTTGGGTCCACATTGCTTTTATGAGCTGTAACACTCGCCGCGAAGGTCTACAGCTTCAGTCCTGAAGCCGGCGAGACCACCAACCCACCAGGAGGAACAAACAACTTCAGACGCGCTGCCTTAAGAGCTGTAACACTCACCGCGAAGGTCTGCAGCTTCACTCCTGAAGCCAGCGAGACCACGAACCCATCAGGAGGAACGAACAACTCCAGACGCGCCGCCTTAAGAGCTGCAACACTCACCGCGAAGGTCCGTAGCTTCACTCCTGAGCCAGCGAGACCACGAACCCACCAAAAGGAAGAAACTCCGGACACATCCTAACATCAGAAGGAACAAACTCCGGACACGCCACCTTTAAGAACTGTAACACTCACCGCGAAGGTCCACGGCTTCATTCTTTAAGTCAGTGAGACTGAGAACCCGCCAATTCCGGACACACAGCTACAGCCAAGCCTCTTTGCTTCTCTGGGCCAGCCTCTCTGGAGCTGAATCGTGGCTGGCTGGATTTGAGGAGCCTGCATGGGCGCACTCTCTCTTTCTGAATCCCAGCTAGGGCTCTCCTGGCTGTAATTACTAAGACTCAGCTGCTGGGAATTTCCACGCCTCCTACCTCTCTACAGGGCAGTCCCTCCATATTAGGAAACCCACTGGCACGCTCCGCCGTTATCTTCGCAAGACTTCCGTTGTTGCCTCAAGTTGCAGATTGCCTTTTAACAGAGAAGAAAGTGACAGGTTTGTTTCTGGGAAGGGATGTGTTTGCGATCAGGGAGGACGGGACGGTTGTAGCTTGGGTTGAGATGCACAGACAAGCATCTTCGAACCCACATCAGGTGGGACACCCCGTTTGCTCCCAGGAGGGCTACTGCGGGGTAGGATTAAGTGCTTGTTAAAGAGAAGAGCTGTGGTTGGTGCGGTGGCTCACGCCTGTAATCCCGGCACTTTGGGAGACTGAGGTTGGTGGATCATGAGGTCAGGAGATCGAGACCATCCTGGCCACCATGGTGAAACCCTGTCTCCACTAAGAATACAAAAATTATTCGGGCGTGGTGGCGTGCGCCTGTAGTCCCAGCTACTCAGCTACTCAGCTACTCAGGAGGCTGAGACAGGAGAATCACTTGAACCTGGGAAGTAGAGGTTGCAGTGAGCCGAGATCGCACCACTGCACTCCAGCCTGGGTGACAAAGTGAGACTCCGTCTCAAGAAAAACAAAAACCAAAAACCCCATGTGGAAGGCCTTGGGGTGGGGTGTGTGCGTGGGGGGATTTGCTTCCATCATCCGGCTCATCCAGCACATAATGTTTGTTATATCACTATCTAATGTACAATATATCTTATTTATCTGATTTGTCTGTCTCTCTCTCTGTCTAGAATATAAACCCCATGAAGGCAGAGATTTTTGCCTGTTTTTTTCATATATAATATGCACTTAAATGTTTGTTGAATGAATGAATGCGAGTGTGTATCTATCATGAATCTCAGGCCGTCGATAGTACCCAAATTTTCTTCCCTCTGGCTGAGGTGGGTTGGGGGATTCCGGAGAAGCTGGAGAACTGTTGTAGTTTCTTTCAAGAGTAACACCCCAGAAGCTGCAGCAAGGTTTTGAGCAGTAACATTCCATTTGTGTTTTAGAAAGATGTCTCTGCTGGCAGCGTGGGGGGCAGGCTGGCTTGGGGATGCTGGAGGCTGGAGCTCTAAGTAGAGGATGGTGTTATCCAAGACCCGGAGGCATCAGGACCTGCAAAAGTGCTGTCAAAACAGGAAAATGCTGTGAACTTTAACAAAATTGTCAAGTTCACCAACTTTTTTTTTTCTCTGTTAAAGATCTTGCTTGCTTGACTGGTTTTTCCAAATTCCCAGAGCTTCTCTGAAGTCAGTCAATATGGCATTATTGTCATTTGGGGAACAGTAAACCTTTGAAAAATGCCTTTTGCGTTCTGGATTTGTGGAAACCGTTTGAACCGTGGTGAGTCCTTCGAAACACAGTGTTTTGATTTTCTCAATAATTTCTTGAGGATCATTAGAAATGGGAATTCAAGAGTTAGGATGGATTTTTCCCATAGGCTGCATACATGTCACAAAGCATGATTTATTGTGGCACTTCAATAAGAACTTATGGAACAGGCAAAGGTGTCCACTCAGCAGCCCTTAGGAAGCTCATTTTTGAGGCTTACGGGTCCGCTGTTTTCCAGACGCCAGGAGGTGTGGGCAAGAGCCTGTCTCAGGGTGGGAAGATTGCTCTTGGTAACTCATGAGTCCTTCACACCTGGGGTTGAGCCACCTCCACCCCCCAGCCTCCACCTCCACCCCCCAGCCTCCACCTCCACCCCCCAGCCTCCACCTCCACCCCCCAGCCTCCACCTCCACCCCCAGCCTCCACCTCCACCCCCCAGCCTCCACCTCCCACTGCTGCATGGAGCCCTATCAGACCAGGTGACCCTCAAGCATCCTTCAAAGCCTGCAAGGTTTTGGGATTTGGAGTTCAAGTGCAAACTCATTTAGTTCATGCCTTACTAGTCAGTGCCCAGGGAGATAGGGAGTAGGTGGGGTTGGTCGTGCCAGGGTCTGGGATGGTACAGGCTGGTCTGGAGTAGGAGGGAGTAGAAAGAGAATAAACTTGTTTCCTCCTTTTTTATCCCTTCCAAGGAAGGATTGAAAGGGTATGTCCAAGGGCATTATGGAAACTATGGCTTTGCCAGAAGGTGTTGATGAGAGAGACAGTCACGGGTGACTGAGGCCCTGGCTGTGGTCTTCACTGCCATCCCTAAGAATCTGTTTTGGTATTTTATGTGTGGCAGGAAAGAAATCCTATGTTCTCACCAGCCTCACTAGACCCTGATGTCTAGTGTGGTTCTGCACACATGCTGCCAGTCCCTTCTCCGAGCTCCTGCCCATGCTGCGCCTTCTGCCTCAAATGTACTTCCTCGTGCACGTGGCTCGAATCTACTAGTGTTTTAATACTCAGCATGGGAGAACCCCCTCTGTGCTTCCTAGGACTTGCCCCAGCAGAGTTAATGGCTCTGAGTGCCCTTTATACAGCCCGTATCACATTGCAATGTTGCCTGTTTGCCCTCCCAAGAATGCCTGAGGGTGGAGAAAGGTCTCATACATTCTTGCAGCTCCGAAGGCCAGCACAGGGGCAGGCACATAGTAAATGGTGGTTGAATTTTACTAATCTGTCCGGGCTCAGAGTCCTGCAGACCTGAGTTTGAATCTTCTCTCCTGACATTTGTTAGCTCTGTGACCTTGCGCGAATCAACTGGCAAGCTCATCAGCCTGTTTCCTCACCTCTGTACCTGACCAGGGGAAGGTTAAGTAGATGGAATGGGTTCTATAAACTGAAAAAACAAAAACAAAAAAACACACATATAATACTTATTGAGCCACCTGTTATGTGCCAGAAACAGCCCTGAGCTCTTTACATGTATAAACTCTCTAAATTTTCACAACAACCCTACGAGCTAGGTACTATTGTCATCTAATAATAATGTGAGGAAACTGAGGTGCAGGTGTTAAGTCACTGGCCTACGACCACACAGCTAGAAAGTAGCATGATTGGGATTTGAACCTGGAGAAGGTAGCTCCAAAGTCCATGTGCCTAACCATAATCCCAGCTCCCCGAGGACATCGCTATTAATATTTATTGAGTACCTACTATTGGCTGAGCACTTTATTTCAACTCATCCTCACAGAAACTCAATCAGGTATTATTACTCTTATATGAGAGATGAGAAAATTGAGGCTCAGAGAGGTTAAGGAGCTTGTCTAAGGTCACACCGGTAGTGACAGAGTTAAGATGCTAGCTGATGAGCCCTAAAGCCTGTGATTCTTTTCTATTCCTTTCTCATTTCTTACTCCCTTAATTGTATTGCAGAAGAAACAGAAGACCAGGGAACAAAGGTGTTTTGCCTGGAGCCATGCAGTGGCTTCTTGGTGGAGCAGGAATTAAGACTTAGCCTTGGTTAACCACAGCTTTGCAACAACCACCTCCTGCCAAACCTTAGTGACTCAGAACTATAGTAACATCTTATTTTCCTTGATTTGTGATTGGCTGGCTGTTCTGCTGCTGGTATTTCTGGGCTCACTGTGTTCCCTGGATGGTTGGGCGGGCTGGCCTCACTGTACATGTCTGGCTGTTGGCTGGGTTCCTCAGTTAACCTCCATGTGGCCCCTCAAGATCAGTTTTCTTACATAGCGGTCTCAGGGGAGAAAGAGGGAGAAAGCAGAAACAGCAGGACCCCTCAAGGTCTGGCCCAGAAGATCCTGGCATCACTTGGACTGAATTTTATTGGTCAGTGCAAGTCACAGGTGAGCTCAGATATAAGGAGAGGGAAAATAGACTCTGCCTCCTGGAGGGAGGAGCTGCAAAGCCGTCTTGTGGTAAATACATAGGAATGGTTGAGGCCATCCTGAAAATTCTTCCTAGAGGCCAGGCATGGTGGCTCACGCCTGTAATCCCAGCACTTTGGGAGGCAGAGGCGGGCAGATCACCTGAGGTCAGGAGTTTGAGACCAGCCCGGCCAACATGGTGAAACCCCCTCTCCACTAAAAATACAAAAATTAGCCGGGCGCTGTGGTGCATGCCTGTAATCCCAGCTACTCGGGAGGTTGAGGCAGGAGAATCGCTTGAACTGGGGAGATGGAGGTTGCAGTGAGCCAAGATTGCATCAGTGCACTCCAGCCTGGGTGACAGAGTGAGATTCTGTCAAAAAAAAAAAAAAAAAAATTCCTAGAGTTCCTGACTCCCAGCCTGGTGCTCTTTCCCCTCCCGTGTAGTTGGGACATTTTGCTCTTCTTCAGCCCATGCCTGGTATCGGTTTATTGTACTAAAAGACTCGGTTTAGCTTGGCCTAGACTTTTTTTCCTGAGTCAAGTAGTGCAGGGCTCAGGGAGGCCTCAGGCTCCTGCAACTTGCCTCTCCATTCCGAATCCCTTGGTGATGGCCACATTTGGCTTTGAGTGTCCTTGTGGTTTGGGCCACCCCCTGATCTCTGCCCTCTCCACAGCTGGTCTGGGAGGGTACTGCTCATTCTAATGGCCTGGGTCAAGCCAGCTTCACCCCATGGGCTTCTGACCTCCTTTCTGGCCCTTGCTGTCCTGCCCTGCCAAAAGGGCACTTTATTAGTAAGTGAGATTTCCTGGAAAACCTCCAAGGGCCTGGAATGACTGAATATTTCAGGCTAAGTGGGAAAAACTACCTGAAAGCACAGAGGATGGGAATGAGTGTCCAGGGCAATTAAGAAAAAATGTGCAAATCTTGGTTCCCTTTTGCATTTCAGGCCAAGAGGGGGAACTCTGGCCTCAGAAGAATGGCCAGGAAAAAACATACACCTTGAGCTGGGTTCAAATCAGCAAAACTTCAGCAACTGCTTACTTCTGGCCAACTCAGGTCACCTGCAGCCAGGTGCAAAGGTGTGTGCCAGAATGAGAGAGACTGTATTTCAGGAAAGATTTGTGCTATGTGAGGCGCTGCTGTTTTAGGGATGGAGGGTGATGACAGAAGATTTGTAACCCTTTAACTGTGATGCAAAACAGAATAGTGAAAGAAATCCCCCTTCTGGGTGTATATCCAAGAGGAGCAAAAGCAGGGGCTTGGACAGAGATTTGCACACCCATGTTCATAGTAGCGTTATTCACAAGAGCCAAAAGGTGGAAGCTTAAACATGATAAAGTTGCTAAATTATATATGTATGTTTTTACCTCAAATGCTTTAAAAAAAAAGTGAAAACAATCCAAAGTGTCTATTAATGGGTAAACAAAAGGTGGTATTCAGGCTTCAAAAGAAGTGAGATCCTGACACATGCTACACCATGGATGAACCTTGAAGACATTATATGCTGAGTGAAATAAGCCAGATACCAAAAGACTGTATGATTCCACTCATACGTGGTTCCTAGAGTGGCCAAAATCAGGGACAGAAAGTAGAATGGTGATGGCTGGGGTGGGGGAAGCGGGGCAAGGGGGAGTTGGTTAATGGGTACAGAGTTTCAATTTTGCAAAATGAAAAGAGTTCTGGAGGTGGTGGTGATGGCTGCACAGTGTGAATGTGTGAATGCCACTGAGCCGTACACTTAAAAATGGTCAAGATGGTAAATTTGATGTTGTGTATATTTTTCTGCCCAAAAAAAAAAAAAGATCCTTAGAAGTGCAATAGAAAAAAAATGTGGGAAGTGGCTGGTTACATTTCCAGGCCACGTGCCATGTGCAGAGCGGGACTGGGAAAGTTTCGGGGACATCAGGAGGGAGACCCTGGACAAAGGAGGGGAGTGCACAGAGCAGGTTCATTCTCCAAAGCCAAGGTCAAGGTCACACTCCTCTCCACAGACCCAACTGTGAGTCCTGAGATGCCCCAGACAATTAAATAAGGCTTGAATCAAAATGATATTTTACTTTGAAAAAAGAAAAAGCAAGAATCACAGGTGTTTTCTTTCCACCCTTTGGATATATGGCATCTGACTGTGAATGGTATGTAACCACTTTTTAAGGGAAAAATAGGCATGTATGTTTACTAGTGAATCAAGCAAAATAAAAATCAACTGGCCACATTGGCCCTGACCTTTTACTTACCACCTTCTTCCCGTAGGAATTCTTGCTCTTGGAGTGTGTGCCGTCCGAGAGTCTCCACACTGAAATGTTCTTTAATCCAGGGCCTCTTTGACATTGTTCTGCACAGGTTCTACTATGGGAATGCAGGAGGTTCATCTTTAGGATCTGTTTGCCTTCATCAACATGACTTATAACCCTCGTGCTTCCTCCACAGATGGCACAGCCACCTTTTGCTGTTTCTTAATCCAGAGCTTTCATTTAAAGATGATAAAAGAAAACATCTGCCGGGCACGGTGGCTCACACCTGTAATCTCAGCACTTTGGGAGGCCAAGGTGGGTGGATCACCTGAGGTCAGGAGTTCGAGGCCAGCCTGGCCAACATGGTGAAACCCCAGCTCTACTAAAAATACAAAAGATTAGCTGGGCGTGGTGGCAGGTGCCTGTAATCCCAGCTACTTGGGAGGCCGAGGCAGGGGAATTGCTTGAACCTGGGAGGCGGAGGTTATAGTGAGCCGAGTTCATGCCGTTGCACTCCAGCCTGGGCAACAAGGGTGAGACTCTATCACAAAAAAAAAAAAAAAAAAAAAACTTGGGCAGTAAAAGAGCTCATGAAGCACCATGGCCAGCCCCCCAGAGAGGGGAACACTGCTTTGGGAAACATTTTCTAGTGATGCTGCAAATAGCATGTGCCCTGTGACTGGCCTTCCCGTGGTGCTGTGAGTCTGTGCCTGCTCAGGCCTCCAGCATGGTGACAGGCAGTTGAAACCACCACTTTGTTTCCAAAAGCATAAAAGGATTATGCATAAACTGAGAGGTGGGTGGATAAGCAGAGACACAGAAACTCCAGAGTGTGAATGGTCTGGTTGGGGTTGAGGATGAACGTGGGGAGGTGAGGAGTAAAGAGGGACAGGGACCCACCTACTGTGTGCTGAAACCCCAGTAGGCACTTTCTAAAGTCTGTTCACTTCTCACCACAGTCTTGTGAGTTAGGAGTTTATGACAATAAAATAGTTGAGGGCCGGTTGCAGTGGCTCATGCCTGTAATCCCAGCACTTTGGGAGGCCAAGGTGGGTGGATCACCTGAGGTCAGGAGTTCGAGAGCAGCCTGGCCAATATGGTGAAACCCAGTTTCTACTAAAAAAAAAAAAAAAAATTAGCCAGGCATGGTGGCGGGTGCCTGTAATCCCAGCCACTCTGGAGGCTGAGGTGGGAGAATTGCTTGAACCTGGGAGGCGGAGGTTGCAGTGAGCCGAGATTGCATCATGGCACTCCAGCCTGGGCGACAGAGTGAGACTGTGTCTGAACAAACACACAAAAAATAGTTGAGGAAAGTGAGGCCCAAAGTGTAAACAACTAATTAGTTGGGGATGAGGATCTGAAATGTCTGGATGGCCCCATAGTCAACTGGTTCTCACTCCCATCACATTGACACAGCTTCTGCTTTGAACTTTAACCTGTGAGCCACAGGCAACCACCAAAGGGTTCTAAATAGGGGAGTGATGGGTTCAGAACTAAGTTTTAGCAAAAGCCCTCTGGCAGAAAGGTGGATGATGGATGGGAGGGAGTACTGGGGCTAGGGGGCAGAGACCAGTTCTGAGATTTACTGTAGACTCAGTAAAAGCATTGGAAGTAGGGCAGGAAATGGAGGTGGGGTGGGGAAGATGTGTTAACCATAATCGTATATTGTATAACTTGGTTCTTAAAAAACATATTGGGAGGTAAGAATTTTCCTTGCTGTTTTATAAATAAGGACACCAAAGTCATATGACCGGAAGGCTCCCAGCCTGGATCTGAACTTGAGTGCCTATGACTCAAAGGCTCCTGTAATTTCCTCTAAGCCACCTCATGAGCGCTCCCGCGTGGGCGGTGTCAGATTGGATCCAGACGTGAGGAGAAAGGCAAGGTAGAGTGGCTTTAGAGATATAGAAGTAAGCCGCGGTGGTGGAGTTCTTACCTGGAGAAAGAGAAATCAGGAGGGCGTGGGTTTGGACGCAGCAGGGTATCCAGTGGAAACACTAAGCCAGCAGCTGGAAGTGGAAGTTAGAGGCCTGAAGTCTGGAGATCGCAGATGGGCTGTGGGTTTGAGAGTCTGAAGGGTAGACCTGCTGTCTGAAGGAATGGGAGTGAAGAGGAGAGAGGAGATGTGAGAGAGAAAAAGGAGAGACGGGGAGGAAAGAAGAAAGAGAAGAGAGATGCTGATAGGGCCTCAGGGATGCTGGTGCCCAGGGGGTGGTGAAAGGGAGGAGGGGAGAGAGATACAAAGGAGACTGAGGGTGGGGTGAGGCATAGGGAAGTCAAACCAGGGAAGAGTGTGAAGAGGGAGGTGACCGCCAGTCAAATGCTGCAGAGAGGGGAAGAGGATAAGGCAGAGTGGGTGCCTGGGAATTGAGCCTCGGTGGTTGGGGGTCAGGGGTGGGGTTGGAAAGCTAGTGAGGAAGGTGGACCACAGTACTGTGTAGATGCCTGGACGGGGGCTGCCTGGGATCCTCCTCTGAGGGTCTTGCCTGGGGACTCAAACCAGGATTCTATAGACAACGTCTTCACGTGGCAAGTTATTTTTGCTGTGAACCCACGTGGTCGCGCCTGGTAATTATAGGGTAAAAGGAATTAAGCAAGACATAATTTCTCCCCATCAAACCTGACTGTTTTACGTCTCCACCTCGCACCGGCAGGCAGGCTTTCTCCCTTCACAGGTGCCACTTTGATTTCAGTCACGTTGGAAAGGAATTTGAAACATCTTCAAAGTGATTAAAGAGAGGAAGTCATTGCAAATGTGGGCTAAATGTAATAATCACATAAACTGTTTATGGCCATGGAGCTTTCAGGAGGGAAGGCCTTGTGGTAGCTGACAGTCGGGGTGGGGCTGGGGCTGGTGAGAACAGTGGTGGCAGAGGTGGCGACGGCACTGCAGGTACAGGTGGAGGATGGCTCAGGTGCAGGTGGAGGATGGCTCAGGTGCAGATGCAGGTGCAGGTGGAGGATGGCTCAGGTGCAGATGCAGGTGCAGGTGGAGGATGGCTCAGGTGCAGATGCAGGTACAGGTGGAGGATGGCTCAGGTGCAGGTGGAGGATGGCTCAGGTGCAGATGCAGGTGCAGGTGGAGGATGGCTCAGGTGCAGATGCAGGTACAGGTGGAGGATGGCTCAGGTGCAGGTGGAGGATGGCTCAGGTGCAGTGCAGGTGCAGGCACAGATGCAAGTGGGGATGGATCTAATTGTAATATTAATTATTATTATTACAGCTACTGTTTTTTGAGCATTACTACTCCCTTAGTGCTGTCTCCTTTAACCTTCATTAGAGCCTCATGAAGTGAGCATGATGGTCCTTATAATAAGGGGAGCAAGGTCCAGAGAAGTTCAGTCATTTGTTGAAGACACACACCTAGGAAGGGGCAGGGTTTGGATGTGGAGATAGTCCCATCCCAATTCAAAACCACTCAGCCTCAGCTTCACTGTGTGGGGTCCATGGTCCACGTCTGCTCCCTATGGCATCCCAAGGGGACTCTTTCATGTTCAGGGAATTTGACCTTTGAGTCTAGACCTGGGACTGAGTGGGTGAAACCCTGGCTAATAATTCACCAAAGACTCCAAGACATAAGGGTACTCCTGTGACTCCCTCCCTCCATGCAGGCAAGGTCTTGCTCTGTTGCCAGGCTGGAGTGCAGTGGTGCAATCTCGGCTCACTACAACCTCCACCTCCTGGGTTCAAGCAATCCTCCTGCCTCAGTCCCCCGAGTAGCTGGGATTACAGGCGTGCACCACCATGCCCAGCTAATTTTTGTATTTTTAGTAGAGATGGGGTTTCACCATGTTGACCAGGCTGGTCTTGAACTCCTGACCTCAGGTGATCTGCCTGCCTCAGCCTCCCAAAATGCTGAGATTACAGGCGTGAGCCACTGTGCCTGGCCTCAGATGCCTTTATAAAGCAACTTTAGTTTTGCCTCTTTAAACTCACTTTGTAGGACTTGTTTTCCCCTGATCCTAATGAGATCTCCAGAAGGCCCTGCACTTCTCTGACCACATTTAGATCATAAAATGTTATCTGGTTGCCTCAGCCCCTTGGACAGTCTCAGTTCAGTAATTAGTATGTCTAATCTGGGGCAATACCCAAGGCTCCAAACTTCATTTAAAGCTTGCAATCAGGAAAGGGAGTTGGGGGAGATTTTTCTCTCTTTACTCCCTGCAATAGGTTCCTATTGAAGCTGCATCAAATTATCATGAACTTAGAGGCTTAAACAACACAGATTTACTGTCTTATAATTCTTGATTTATTATCTTGTGGTTCAAAAGTCCAAAATGGGTTGTCAGGACAGTATTCCTGTGGAGGGTTCTAGGGGAGAATCTACTTCTTTGCCTTTTCCAGGTCTCAGTGGCTGCCTGCATTCCTTGGCTTGTGGTCCCGCATTGGTCTGACACCACTTCCAGTTTCGTACCTCCTTTCCAGTGCATGCTTTCTTGACAACGAATCCCCTAATTTTGTATTATTTGCAAAATTGTGGATAGGCTGAGAATCTCCCAATTCCTTTTTCTTGACAGTTCTCTCCTCGATTTACCTCTTTCCTCTCATGTTTTACTATAAGCAGCATGAAGAAAACAGGCTGCACCTTCAACACTTTGCTTGGAAATCTCCTCAACTAAACATTCAAGTTCATCATGTATAAGTTTTGCTTTCCACATGACTGTAGGACACAGTTCAGCTAAGCTTTCTGCTTCTATGTAACAAAGGTCCACTTTCGTCCAGTTTCTAATAACACGCTCCTCATTTCCTTCTGAGCCCTCATTAGAAGCATCTTTAAACTTCTATTTCTGCCAATGGGCTGTTCACAATGATTTGGGTGTTTAGTAAAATGCTACATGTTTTATTATTGTGCTCCTTATTTCCTTCTGGTCATTCATGGTGGAGGCTTTAACATCCATCTTCCTATTGGCAGTATGTTCAAGACAATCTCTGCTTTCTCTATTGTGCCCCTCAATATTCTTTCATCCTCTGCCAACTGCCCAGTTCCAAAGCCATTTCAACATTTTTGTGTATTTGTTATAGCAGCACCTCACTTCTAGGTTCCAGAAATCTCTATCAGTCAGAGTTCAACCAGAGTAACAAGGCCAATGGGAGATAAATATTAAGAGATTTATTGCCTGAAATTGGCTTATGTGATTGTAGGGGCTGCCTAGGCAAGCCTGAAACTTGTAGGGAAGGCTTCCAGGAAGGGCAGGATGGAACTTGCAGGCGCGAGCTGATTCTGCTATCTGCAGGTGGAATTTCTTCTTCTTTAGGGAAGTCTCAGTTCTGGTCTTAAGGCTTTCAACTTATTGAATCAGGACCACTCGGATTATCTGGAATAACCTCCCTTCCTTAACATCAACTGATTATGGACTTTAATCACATCTACAAAATACCTTCACAGCAACACATGGATTCATGTTTGTTTGAATACGTGGGGATTGTAACCTAACCAACTTGACACATAAAACTGACCATCACCCTCGCCCATTCTCCTCTCCTCATCCCACTAGCTAATGAGGGATGAGTGAGGCTAGGAGGTGTGGACTAGGGTAAGGAAAGAAGAAAAGGGCAGGGATGGTTTTCATAACTGTGTGTATGGGGTGAGGGGAATCTGGCAATTATTTCCTCTGACATCAGCTGCTGTTTAGAGCCAAGCCTTTCTCTCATAGGTGCTGCTGAGAGTTTTTCAGACCCCTGGTATTATCAACCTCTGCTGGATAATGCTGCATAACAAACAGCTCCAGAACTCAGTGGCTTAAAACCAGCATTTATTCTCATGGTCATGGGTTTGCAGCTGTTTGGCTGGTTCAGACTGTTTGGCTGGTGGGTCTGCTTCAAGCTATGGGTTCAGGTGGCTGTGGCTCCAGGTTGTGGGTTTGGTTCTTGGCCCCTCTGTGTTCCCTGTAGGGCTCAGGCCCAGGTTCATCTTCTCAAGATGGATCACTGGGACACCAGAGGGCTAGCCCTGCCACATGCAAGCATATTTGCAGCCCTGCCTTGCTCACCTTTTCCCTGCTTTCAGAATACCCCTTTGGCCATAGCAAGTCACAGGCCTAGCTCAAAGTAAAGGAGCAAGGCACCTGTGAGCAGTCACCTGTGCTCACCAGGAGTCCATAGCCAAACTGTGACTATTATAAAGGAGTGAATCATCGTGACCTATGATGCCATATACTACCCTCATCCCTATTCTGGGATCTCTTTTACTTGCCCACTCTCTGTGGGCAGTTTATGACATTCTCTGTTGACTTCTGATTCCTGGGGATGCTCTTCCTCACGCAGACTGTCTTCTGGGGTCCTGATGCCCCTCCAGGCAGCCCTCTGGGTAAATTTCTTTTAAGACCACTCTGAACCATCTCACCTCTGCTCTCTACAATGCTGCCACAGGCTACTTCAGCCAACCTTCTGTCCTTTAAAATTTTCAGACACAAGTCAGACACCCATCCACTCCATCCCCCAAGCTCCACGGGAATTTGCAGCAAAACCCCTTGAAGCCCCTTTCACTAGCAACCCTCAACCTCCCCCAAGAGATTCCTGGAGTCTCCATGCCTGGCCAGGTTCCATTTGTGCAAGAAGGATCAATTGCCAAATTTGAAGTAATTGGAATTTTTTTCCCTCTAGTCACAGTCATTTTTCTCATTCCCAGTCAAGCATGTCCCCTGTGCTGCCTGCTTTTTGCCGGACCCTGCATTTGTGTTTGGAGATGAGACATTTCCTGTCAGCCCCGTTGTGCTCCACTGAGCTGGGTGCTGTGTGAGCTGTTCATTAAGACTGCCTATTATCTCGGATTCCCTTCGGTTGCTCAGAGCAATTTATTTTCTTCCTGAAGGAAAAGAACTTTGGCTCCCCCAGGCCTCAAACCCAGAGGCTTTGGACACATGGGCACCAAAAGTTTAGGGTGGAAAGTTCTGGCTGGTGGCTGGATGCACAGATGACACCCAGTCACATAGAGGATTACTTGGGACAATCACAGGGCAGATGTGAACACCGGTTACATCTGCAGGTACCAGCCAAATGAAATGAAGTGTAACTATACAGTGTTAGGGAAATTTAAAGGATTGCTATTTCTACTGGGCCAGATCGCTACTTCCCAGCATAGAAGAATAACCTCTGATGTCAAATTTAAATAGCCTGTTTTATGCTTCTGTGAATCTAAGTACGAAGCAAGAACATTTAGGCTGAGGAACCCAGTCCTGCCGGCCAGCCATCTGTGTTTCTTGACTGTTCCCCACCATCAGGCCCTCTCAGAGTGGTGGCCTGGCATGGTCCCGTTGGGTAACTGGTATCTTTTATCCACGACACGGGGAGAAGCTGGGTACCCCCTACAGGAAGGGAGGGAGCTCACGTGGCTTCCCACGCTGTTTCTGTGCTGGAAAGTTCCATGGTTCAGCAGTTCTGCTGGCCTCCATAGGGGACAGTCTACTGGTGGCCTCATCTTGCCCTAACCAGTCGACTCATCGTTCAAGTCCCCAGGGAAAATCCTGGCTGAAGCCTCCTCAAGAAAGCAGGTGTTTCTTTCTTGGTGCTGACATGGTATGAGTTCCCCTATTTGCTGTGACACTTACCACATAGTGCTGTAGTGACTCGTGTGTTTATCTGTTTCTCCTTCCAAGCTGTGAGCAACTGCAGGCCTGGCTTTGATGTATCTCTGCATCCCCTGACACACAGCTGAAGCTCAGTAAACCCTGGCTGAAGAGCCGGAGACAAGAGGAGAGGAAAGGGAAACATTGTCTTTCTCCCTCAGCATCTAAGGGGCCTAACTTGGACTTCTAAGTGAGGCTGAAATGCAGCCTTGTCCAGGTTTCAGTGGAGTTGCCAGATGGCTTGGTGTTTGTCAGTGGCTTTGAGGTGATTAATTGGACGTTGTTCTTCTCTCCCGGTGGGTGCCTGAGCCTCAGCCATCTCATCACAGCTGCACTTACCTGGTGGTAAAGCCAAGGTCCAGAAGAAGCGAGCAGCAGTTGACTGCCTCAGGCAACCCAGGCTGCTGGGTGGAATAAACTGGAGAAAAAGAACGGTCAAGTTATCCGAATGATGAGCTGACTGTTTTCAAAAATTAATTGTTTCACCTCCCTCGAGAAGTTTATTTGGAGGGGCCACCTTCCTCCACTGGGGAGCTGGGTCTCGATGCATGAGAGGCAGGATCAAACACTACAGTGTGTTTTGGGGAAAAGTCAGAAAGTAGGAGTCTCTGTATTGCTTAGTTGTGTGACCTTGAGCAATTCTTTTCCTTTTCTGGGAAATTCGGTTTCCCTCTCTGTAGAGTGGAGTGGTTAAGAGTAGTACAGGCTCCTTAGATTCCATCTTGCTACTTTCTACTGGTGAGAACTTGGGAAAATTACTTTTTCTGCAAAATGGGGCCACGATTAGAACTACTTCATTGGGTGATAGTGCATGTTAAATGAGTTAGTAGATAGAAAGTGCTCAGGACAGTGCCTCCGATGTACTGATTGCAGTGTAAATGTTTACTGTTGCTATCATCATCGTCACCACCATCATCATCATTCTCAGATTAGGTCATCAGTCCCTACCACTGTGGGTCTCTGGACTGGGGTGGTCTGTGAGGGGAGCTTTCACCAGCTAGTCAAAGTGAGACACGAATGTCCGCATCATGTACATGGAAGGTGGTCAACATTTCTTTTTGGGAAAAGTTGTTATTTTATTCTGAAACAATGTCCTTTCTACGCTTTAAGTGCTAAAATATCATTTTTAAATGAAATAATAATTATAATTTAAAAAATGTCCTATCTGGCAAAACAAGAAGCTGGTGGTACCCACCTTGGGGGTTTGAGGCATCACATGGTCCAATTTCCTCATTATTTATATGACGCTTCTTTGAGGGCAAGAGAGTTGGCCAAGGTCATGAGACAGTCTCAACCCACCAGATATCGGAGAAGTAGACCCTGGTCCTTGTTAGGTTTGTTTATGTATTTATTTGAGTCTTGGTCTGTCACCCAGGTTGGTGTGCAGTGGCATGATCATGGCTCACTGCAGCCTCCAACTCCTGAGCTCAAGGAATTTTCCCCCTTCAGCCTCTGGAGTAGCTGGGACTACAGGTGTGCACCACCATGTCCGGCTTATTACTATTATTATTACTATTATTGACTATTAGTTTATAGAGACAGGGTCTCATTATGTTGCCCAGGCTGGTGTCCAACTCCTGGGCTCAAATGATCCTCCCACCTCGGCCTCCCAAAGTGCTGAGATTACAAGTGTGAGCCACTGCACCTCGTCCCACTTGTTGGTTTGAAATGGCTGTTTCTGTGTCTGGTTTCCTTCCTCCAAAGGAAAGGAAGAAAGTGACTATGATATCCTAGTGAAATTCTCCTCAAATCAGTAGTATGATAGAAAATGTAACTAGGAGAAATTGTAGAAGTCAAGTTCAATTCCATCGAAACTTCACTGAGCACCTACGAATGCCATGTTGCATGACAACCAACTCCTATTAATGCCATGTTGTATGACAACCAACTCCAGTCCTGCCACCACAGCCTCTCTCCAACATTTACTGTACACATAGGAAGCACCAGACATGGTGATAATGCCTCACGTGGATTATCTCACTGTCTTCTGAGGAGTATGAGGTATGTATGGTTGGCCCCATTTCACAGAGGAAGAAACTGAGACTTGGAATAGTGCAGGACCTTGCCCAGGGTTTCACAGTCAGAAGTGGGACCAAGAGAAGTCTGTTTGACACCAAGGTTGGGCTTCCAGCCCCCATATCATGCTGTCATTGTGGGCACCACGCATGGCTCCGGCCGTACCCAGAGTTGGTGACTAAGTCTGAGCTCACATGTGTGATTATGTGATTCGTGTCTGTCCTCAGCAGCTGCTCCAGGGAAAATAGAGTGAGAATGCCTTTTGCTCACCCCTTATCTTCAGCACCCAGCATGGGGCCTGCCTGGCACAGATTAACTGATCACTGAATACTCGCTGATTGGATGAATGAGTGAATGAATGAATTTGTTGAGAATCACCCAGGAAAGAATTCTGCCCCCACCCTGCCTCCAAGATTCTCATTCAAGAACTTGGGAGGGAGCATATAAGTCTACCTTTTAGGCCAGGCGCGGTGCCTCACACCTGTAATCCCAGCATGTTGGGAGGCCGAGGTGGGCGGATCACCTAAGGTCAGGAGTTCGAGACCAGCCTGACCAACATGGCGAAACTCTGTCTCTACTAAAAATACAAAAATTAGCCTGGCGTGGTGGTGGGTGCCTGCAATCCCAGCTACTCGGGAGGCTGAGGCAGGAGAATCGCTTGAACCTGGGAGGCAGAGGTTGCAGTGAGCTGAGATCATGCCACTGCACTCCAGCCTGGGTGACAGAGCAACACTCCCTCCATCTCAAAAACAACAAACAAAAAAACCCAAATCTACCTTTTAAGTTCTGCTCATGCCCCAGAAACTGCCCTCTAAGACACCTGGCTGTAGGGAAATGGGTTTTTCTAAAGATCAGGCAGGGAGACCTTGGTATTTTATTCTGCAGGCAATGGGGAATCACTAAAGAGGGATTTGATGAGGGGATGGGAAGTCCTCCAGAGCTGCGCTTTACAAAAATTGCCGAATGACTTTGCTTGTCCCCTTGCCTAGTGATGCCCCCTCCCTTTTTTTTTTTTTTTCTGTCAAGACTGATTCTGAACAAGAGAGATTCAGGACAAACATCTCCGTGCTGCCGCTGTGGAGCAGTCGGTTCACTTTCAGCCTTTTGCTGCCTCTCTGACAGCAGGCGGCCCGTTAGGGGCTCCCTGACCTTCCGCAATGGATTGTTAGCGCATTTGAGCCCTTTGTAGGAGGATTTCCTCTGCCGTAATTGGACCTTCACTCTGTTGCGCTTCCTGACCACAGAGCTTGTTAGCTGTCAGGCAAGACTGTGAATTTGCACAATGGCCAGCGAGGCTCATTTTTCATAGGCTACCCTGCCACGGGAGCACCCTATGGAAGGACGCCCATAATGCAGGAATACGCCGTATTGTGGGGGAGGAGAGAAGAATTAGGGCCCAACTTGGGAATGGGGAGCATGACAAAATGAAATCTCCCCGCTGGGTTCCCATAGAACTCCGTTCAGTCAGGTGCATGTCTGCCGAGCGTCTGTGTTTAAGGCTATCGTGCTGGGTTTGCTGTCAACCCAGTTACTCCAAGGGAACAATGACAGCTTCTTCCAGTTCTCTGACTCCTTCCCAGGATTTCTTTTAGAAGGAGGTTCATTTGAGCAGTCTGTAAGCATGAGGGGAATCACTGGGCTGAATGGGAGCTAGTGACAGGGCCAGAAGTGGAACTCAGCTTGTTGCTGCCCAGCGGAGAAAACCTGTGCTTCTACAGTCCTGGCTCACTTGCAGAGGGGACATTGCGGAATCCTGCGTCTATCCTAGGCTCTTAGATCCTGAATTTTAGGAGAGGATCCTACGTGTTTTTCCCCCTGCTTCTTTGCCTGACATCACTGAAGTGACCCTAGGCTCTGCAGAGCTGCCTTGGACCCAGGGACTTAGTAAAAACTGTATTTGGGGGAATGAGAGGAAGCTTTGTGAAAAGAGAATAGAAAGGAAATACGGGGAAGACGGAGGGAAAACAGGAAGATTCTGCATCCTCAGGTTTGCCAGTGGCCTTGTAGACCTGAGCTATGAGAGACGAATAGAGATCGTGAAACCAGGACCATGAGTGATGGGCGTTGGGTGGGCACCAGCTTCGGGGAGGGCGAGGCAGGGGCAGGAGAGTAGATGTTTATAACCAGACTTTGCTGGTGCTTGCTATTCTCTGTGCACCCCTGTCCTATACCCTCGAATCCTGTCTGCCCTTTTTGCCTCCCTGACCTGTGCTGTGCCCCAGGAGGACATCACCCAGGGTTTCCTTGCTGACTATCTGTTGGGTTTGGCCAGTGAGGCACTAATAGAAGATTGGAGAGGGGAGAGAGAAAGAGAGAGAGAGGATGAGGCGGGGCTTTCTCTGACCCTCCTTGCTCTGGGCCATGTTCTGGAAGTTGCTGGACCCGTCCATGTCCTGTCTGGTGTCATCTTCAGTGGCTCTAGCTCTCACTGGGTCCCAGTCATATTTCTTTCCTCTTCTCCTTTATGCCTATGGGTGGTGATGCCTCACAATTCCTGCCGCAACACTGAGAGGAGTTCCTTAATTTGAGTTTCTTCCTTTGCATCATCCCTGTTGGATTCTGTGTCCTCATGGGGTCTGATTGATGTAGGGCTTCTGTTTCCTGGGCCTCCTCATCTTGGGCATGGCTTTGTTCCCTAGATAGTGAGCTGAGTATGGCTTGCTCTAACTTTGAAGAAGTTCTTGGCACAATGAAGGGTAGGATAGAGGCTGTGAGGAGAAAGAGAGGCTTCTGGAGGAGGTTGTAAGAAAAGCCTTGGGGCCAGCCCTCAGGGCTAGGTCCAGTGGGCTATTCGGTCAGTGCACTTCTCAGGAGGAGTCTGTGTGGTACCCAGCTCTTGGGCTCTTGGCAGGTCTGGTGGTCATAATTGAAAGTCCTTTTGCTGGAGAGAGGCCAGATCAAAGCTACCTTATGGAGAAGACTCCGTTGGTATTTAAAATGTCAGAATGACATTTCTGATAAGAAAATCAGAGGCCTGTTGAATAATGTTGACGTGGGAAACATTTCCTTTGAGGTGAGAAGCACAATACAAGCAATTAAGGCTGAAGCTGAGAAATAGCAGGTATGTGAGGCCTGCGAAGTGAGAATGCCTGTGGAAAGGTGTGGCTGGGACGACCACTGGAGAGCTGACTCTCCCGCCTGGATGAAAATTCTGGGGAGGGACTCAATGTGGAAGCCAAACAAATGAAAGATCCATACAGCTCTTGGGCGAGAAGGATAGAAGGTTTGTCACCCATGAGATGTGGCAGCATTTACTTGGGGGGAGAAGAAGGAATCCAGGAATGGAAGAAACCTCCTTCTTTGTCTCTTCCCACCTGCCCTCATAATTAGTGTGGCCAGGTACTGGCACACATGCTCCAGTTTCAGCCACTGACTCTGGAGGTTCAGTTGGAAGATCTAGTCCAGAATCCGATGGATCTGATAAGCTTGGTCTTGACTTGGCCAACTTAGACTGGAGTTTCCAAAAGAAGGTGTTGCATCTTGAAGTACCTTTCTTCTGTCTCATGAACACAATATCAGCCACATTCAAGAGTTAATCTTGTTGGTCTCCATGTGGATTCCAGTCTTAACTGTTAAAAAAATCTTCTGTGTTACCAAGTTTCCAAATATTTTCTCTTTAGCTATCTGAAATGATACAGAATAGACTGATTGGGACTGATGACAGCAAATTCAGATGACGGTTGCATTATAGAATGAGCTCTATTTTAGCCAAGTTGATAGCAAAGCAAATCCTAGTTCTCCATTAACTTCTATTATTAAGCCAGAGATGTGTTTTCATGAGGATTTAATGACTTTCTTGTGTGAACACAAAGAACAATACAATAAATGTGTAACAATATAATAAATGTGGGGCACTGACAAATGCTCCACAGACTACCTCAGAGTTCTCAGGGCCTGTGGACACTAACTTCTAAAGTCTTAGGTTGCACTTATGGCCTCTTTGCTGGGTTTTTTTTTTCCCATGAAAGGAGAGCAAGACATACTCTGTCCACCACAGACATGGATCAGTCGTTTCCTGGGCTTCACCAGAATGTCTCTTCTGGTTTTCATTAGTGAAGCGTGTTCACCATTGAAGACCAGAAGGGGCATTTAGGGAAGGACAATGGCAGCACTCATTACCCGGGTGAATCCGTGATTTCTGGACTGTGGGCCTCTTTTCTCACAGGGACCCTTGTCAATGCTCAGCTGAGAAAAGTCTTCACAGCACAGCTTACAACAAATCTATTAGAAGTGCAGAAATCTCCTAAAAGTGCTGTCATTAAGTCACATCACAGTCTTTTTCTCTCTAGTGATTCAACACATACTTTTTGAGTGACTATTATGTTCATATATTAGGTGCTAGGGATAAAATTGAGAACAATGAAGACATCTACTCTCAGGGAATTTATATTCAGGAGACAAAGAAAAAAATTGAATACATATGTACAAGATAATGGCAGGTAATAAGTGCATTAAAGAAAAACAAGAAAGTGCATTGAAGAAATGCAAGAATGACAGGAATTGTTACCATTTTAAATGCAGTGGTCAGAGAAGTCTCTTCTGAGGAGGTGACATTTGAGTAGGGACCACAAAGCAAGCCATGAGAATATATGAGAAGGTGTTTTTGGGCAGAGAAAACAGCAAGGCCAAAGGCCTGAGGCGGGAGACTGCAGGGTATACTTGGGTAGGAAGGCATTGTGGATGGAATGGAGTGAGCAAGTGGTACAGTGGGAGACAACAAAGCCAGAGATGACATCTTTTTCCTTTTCTTTGCCATTTAACTAAATTCCGAACATTGGCATATATTCTTTTTCTTTCCCTGGAAACTCTTTGATTCCACACTGGCAGCTTCCAAAGATGTACTCACTTCTGGGCATGTATAGGGTCTCATAGAGCTGAATTGCAATACCACCTCTCACCAGCAGTTGCCACTAGGGCACCCAATTCCTACAGTTTTGTAATTCTATTTCAAATCTGCAACACATTGAGTGCATGCCAGGGGTCAAGTACTGCGCAGGCTGCTGGGTTACAACAATAAGTTAGATACAGTCTGGTAGGCATAAATTCAAGGCTTCAGTGAAATGACCCATGTGGAGACTGACTTCTGGCTTTGACGAAACAGAATAGGCCGATGCTCATTCTACTTTGGTTCTGTTGCTGGGGACAATGAAGGCTCTATCCCTCTGTCTTCCTCCCGCATCAGCCTGAACTTCAGGTCACCTCCTAACCCAAGACCTTTCTGAAACCTCAGCTACATGACATCATTTTCTGGTGTCATCTGAAAGAAGGAGAGTCTCCAGTCTGGAAAAGCTCCCTTGGGATTTTTCTGACAGGTGGTGGAAAAGAACAATTCCAATTCCTCTCACCTTTAGATTGTACCCTCCAAACCCTGCAATTAGGTCTCTGTCTTGCTGGATTTTCTCCACAACCCTGAGACTTGGGTATTATTATCTACATTTTACAGTTGAGAAAGCTAAAGGTCAAAAGGGCAAGGGGATGTTCCCAAGTTTTTGTTGGTTACTAAGCTACTGCCTCTCACCTTCAGACTTGCCTTTCCACACTCAGCTCTGCAACTTGCAGCTGAGAGTGGGAACAGCATTTTTACTTAGCCAGCGGGTTTCCTATTGGGTTTTGTCATTAGGGGGCACTAGAGGGATGCTGGAGGCAGGAGAAGGGAGAAGAGCTGTGGAGCTTCCTGTTTTGCTTGTTGCCCCTGTAAGTGGTC